>NC_000007.14:46906908-47209938 GCF_000001405.40 Homo sapiens
AGTGGCAAACAGTTGTGGAAAACAGTTTGGCAGTTTCTCCAAAAGATAAACATGGAAATTATTATATTACCCAGCAATTATTGATCTGTTGTATGAAAAGTTGTGATTATTTAACTCAAAAAGTCTTTTCCAGATTGATATTATTACAGGAAAATTAGATCAGTTATTACATGCCGTACTCCCAGCCCATAGTAAGTGGTCAATGTATATTTCCCCTGTGATGAACATGCTTAGAAAAAAGTGAACTCTGATAGGGGTTAGATGAGTTAGGCAGAGGAGTTGCTCAACTCTGCATTGACATCCTGATCAAACTTATAGGGCAGGTGGTCCTAGATGTAGGATTGAGGAAAGGAGAATAAGTAACTGGAAACTGGAGAAGGAGTAACTGAAAAATAATGAGTAACTTTTTTATGGAGTAAAAAAAAAAAGTTTGAAGTTAGATCTAGATCATGTAACTGGATTTTAGTTTATCTATACAGTGGTAGCAATTTTTCTATCTGCCTCATAATATTGGTGAGGGGGAAAGGTGGTAAAATTTTTAATGTATACATAGAAAAGTGGAAGAAGAGCAGCCGTGGGGTTGAGCTTCTCCTCCTCACATGTTACCCCTGCCTGTTGATGCTTTAACTCAGGCTCCTGTCCTACGGAAGTTTGCTACAAATCCGAGGAGAGCTTTCTACATTGTGTACGGTAGAGCAATTTGGAGCCATGGTCCAAACTTCCAGTGCAGAGAATTAGAAATGGATGTCTTTCCAGTCATCTGTGGGCAGCAGTCACACAGAGAAACCAAGAGCACAGAGGCGTGGGAGGCTTGAGTGTGGCCCAAACACCAGGTGAGAAGGGAAGAGGTCTTCAGGTGTTTGGATCTTTTGTTCACAGATTTACTTCATTTCCAGGACTTCCGAGTTGATGATTGCTTCCACAGCTCCTCCTTACCCACCTTAGACATCCTGTTTCTTGTATTCTGTCTCCTAATATTTCCTCTCCACCTTCCCACTCATTTATTGTCCCTCATAGAACAGCATTTAGTAGCATTTCCTATTTGCCTGGTGATGCATCCATGAGTTTGAGAAGGGGCAGTGTGTGCCTGTGTGCAGAGGGGAGAAAGTCAGCGCGGGGGCTGCAGGGGGCAGGTCGGAGGGCTTGCCTGAGAGGACCGCACCAAAAAGAGATGAGGAGTGCAGGGGAAGGCATGTGGAGGCCTATCCTTCATCTTGATGTTCAAGCAAATAATGTAATCTTAGCTCACTAGTAACAAGGGAATCTCCAAGGGTCTTCACACTCTTTGGCTTCTCTCCCTCTCCTCCTTTCCTCACCTCTTTCTTCCCTTCCCACAGTGTTGGTCTTCCCCTACAATTCTCTCCTATTTCCACACTTGGCCCCTCCCCCTTTACCTGAACCTTTTACCTTTTCATCTCCCAGGGTTGGATCATTACCCTGCAGTTTCCCCTGGAATGTCGACACCATAGACCACTCACTGGCCTAACAGCCCCCCCAGGCAATTTTTGTTTGTTTGTTTATTAAAACTGAACATTACTTTTAAAATAAAAAAAATTACTAACAGTGGATTATGTATGTGAAAGCTAACAATGCTAAATAGTGGCTCCCCACTTTAGTAGGGACAGAAGGTCTCCCCATCACCCCTATCAAGACCCCTATTCTCTTCTTATAAAAAGCTCATATCTACATTCTGCATGGCTTGCCTAGTCCTTGTTAGCATGTGAGCTTGTAGCTCCTGGTCCAGATCCTCATCATGCTGGAAAAGTTGGGGACCCAGGGCCCATGCAGCCAGATCTTGGCCCAAGGGGACCCTTACTGACAGCAAAGAACTTAGTCAAGCCCCAAGAGCATGGACTGTAACTCAGGAGGCCTGGTCTCCAAAGCTGCACCCTGTTTGAAATGTGTAAAGGGCAATTCATATGACCTTTCTTAGCTGGGCAATGAGGAGGGGACATCTGAGGTTTTCAAGAAGGGCTCCTCCAACCCCTAGGGTGCCACAATTTCTGCCATAACTTAAATGAAGCATGTAAGGAAAAGAACGAAGGAGAGCAGAGGTCAGCAATGCAGGATGTGGTTAAAAATAAATAAATAAAAGATTTTATTGTAAGAACAATGAGAACCACTGGAATGTGTTAGGCAGAGAGTAATGTGATCCAATTTCCAGCTTTAAAAGCCTAGTGGGTTGTAAAGAAACACAGGTCCAAAAAAAAAAAAAAAAAAAAAAACAGAAAACAAAAAACAAAAACAAACAAAAAAAAGGAGACTAGTCAGGGAGCTGTTGCAGTTGTCCAGGAGAGAGCACTGGACTGTGAGTCAGAAGACTGTATGGGGGTGTCAGGTGGTGGTCTGGACAAGGTGTTCATAGAAAATTTGATGATAAATGGAAAAGACAAAATCAACAGAACATACCAATAGATAAGATGTGGGGAAGAGAAAAGAATAATCCATAAGGACACGTAGATATGTGTTCCGAGCACCAGGGTTGAGAGTGGTGCATTTTACAGAGTTTAGAAGGGAGCACAGATTTGTGAAACCAAGTTGAGTCTGGGGAGCAATGCGTAGCTCAATATTGCTGAAATAGACCATACAAGGGATTGGGAAATGGGGCAGAAAATGAAGGAAGAGATAGGTTATAGAAGGTATGGTACATCTGGATTTTATCTCGAAAGTGTCTTGACACCCCCCATACCTTCTTTTTCTCATAGAAATGTTGGCATGACATTTAGAATGTTCTCTCTGGCAATGGTGGGGAGTTTAGATTATAGGCGAAAAAGCTAAAGGGAAGAAGACAAATGAAGAGGCTGGAGCAAGTCAGAGGATGACTAAATCCTCCCCGCTAGCTACTTCCCTGAAATAAAATTACCCATTCCCTGACATCAGCATTCTTTCTGCCAATTCCCTTCATTTTGAATGCAAATTCCAAAACGTGCTTTCAGCTAGGGATAATTATCTAATTATCTATTATCCGGGGTGTATCGTTTCATTTTCCCCTCTTCCTCCCCCTTTATTCAGTGTGTGGCTTTTGGCGGGCTTGAGAAAGATATGACTCAATTGCCTGTCAGCACAGCTTGGGTGAGGAAAGAACATCATGGAAAAAAAGGAATCGAGCTTGTCTAGGGAGCAGAGAGGTAATTGATTACTAATTACTGAAACATTATGTCTGAAGGAGGCAAGGCACAAGCCTATTTTCCAAGGCTCCAGGTAATTAGCAAACATATTTAAGATACTCGCGATGGCTCCAGGGGAGAAACATCTGAGAAGGAGGTTTCTTCGCCTCCTTATAAGGTCCATTTATGGCTTTTGCGTGATGAGCTTCACACTCCCAAGCATGAAGGAGGGAATTGGGGTTGGGACCAAGGGCTTCCTTCAATATTGCCATCCAAAGGCAGGTATTCCAGAGTCAGCCCCTAGGGTTATCTAATGGCAAGGGTAAGAAAAAAGCAGCAAGGAAAGGAAGTTAAATAACTGAGCTCTTCACTTTCAAAAAAATGTTGAGGGTAATCTTTCAAAAACACAAGTCTAATCATGCCACTCCTCTGCCTGAAAGTCTCCAGTGACTTCCCTTTGTCTGAAGAGTTCTAGATTCTCAATGTTGCTTACATGGCACTCAGCCTCCTGTCCCATTGCTCCTGGAGAAAGACTGGCTGAGGATGATGTGTGGGCCACCTGTCTTGCAGTGCTCCCCGAGGACCATTCTTCCTCTCAAACCTGAATGTGTGCATCAGCCGTTTCTTATGACAAGCACTGTCTCCTCTTTTACTGTCAATTCTTCCTCACCCTCTTTGTAGCTCAAATGTCCCTCTTCCAGCAAGGTTTCCCTATACCCTAATTGTTGTGAAGTTCAGCCCCCCTTTTTTTAATGAACTCTATTTTTTAGAACAGTTTTAGATGCAAAGGAAAAATGCAAAGATGGTACACGGTGTCCTCATATTTTCCATACTCAATTTTTTCTATTATTAACACTTTACATTTGTATGGCATGTTTGTTACAATTAATGAATCCATGGTGATATACGTTTATGAACTAAAGTCTACCATTTATTCAGATTTTCTTAGTTTTCACCAGATGTTATTTTTCTCTTCCAAGATCCCATCCAGGATACCTATTACGTTAGGCACAATGTCTGTTTTTAGGTCCCTTGTGGCTATGACAGCTTCTCAGAGGTTCCTTGTTTTCGATGACCTTGACAGTTTCGAGGGGTCAGGTATTATATTGTATAATTCTCCTCTGTTGGAATTTGTCTGATGTTCTTCTCATGATTAGAATGGGGTAATGAGCTTGTCAGAGGAAGACCACGCAGGTAAAGTGCCATTTGCATCACATCACATCAAGGGTACATACAATCAATAGAATGCATGACTGTTAATGTTGACCTTGGTCACCTGGCTAATGTAGTGGATTTTGTTTGTTTGTTTTAGTAGAGACAGGGTCTCGCTATGTTGCCCAGGCTGGTTTCAAACTCCTGTGCTCAAGCAATCCTCCTGCCTCAGCCTCCTCAGTCACTGGAATTACAGTCATGAGCCACTGTGCCAAGCTCCTAACATAGTGTTTATCATGTTTCTCCACTGCAAAGTTTCTCTTTTTCCCCTCTTTTCATGCTCATTCCTTTTGATTTAAAAAGGAAATCATTATGCACGGGGCACACTTAGGAGTGGAGTGTTATGCACCATCTCATTGAATGTAGAGTAAATACATAAATTACTTGGGACTTTCCTGGATGGACATTTATTTCTTCTCTCTACTCATTTATTTATGCAATTATTTATTTATATCAGTATATCAATACTGATATATATTTATTTTATTCATTAACTTATGGTCCAATACTGCTTCATTTATTTTGTTGCTCAAATTGTTCAAGCATTGGCAACTGGAAAGTTTTTTTTAGTTAACTTCTGTGTCCCATTGACATACCCCATTATGGGACATTTGCTTGCTTGCTTGTTTTTCTTTGAGCACTTCCCCACTTTCCAGTGCTAAAGGATAGATTCCACAGGCTCAATCTGTAAGACAGACTTCCTGTCTTAGTCCTAACACCAGCCACTTCTCCAAGAACCTCTATTTTCTTACATTAGAAAAAGATGTTAGAAACAAAAGGTAGGCATGTTTGTTGCCACTGGGATGCAGTTATATCTAGGCTTCTTGGTTGAAATAGCAAGAAAATAGATGAGTACATACTAGCCCGTGTATAGACACATATCTGTGAATATTTCTATATGTATCGTCTTTGACTATATCCTGAACATGAGTTCATACTGCTATCTCCAATTCTTAATTACCACAAAGATCATTCTAGCCTCCTCCATATGTTTATCTATAAACTCTCACTTTAACAGTAAGAAATCTGGCTCACATCTTCCACTATCCACTCATTTAACTGTTCCTTTCCAGTATACACGGATAGCAGTATCAGAGTGTTAACCCATATTCCTGTGGAAATCAACATTTTCAATAAAGTATAGTTCTTGTTGCATTTCTTTTCCTGTAGTCTAACATACTCTATTCATTTCCAAAGTTAATTAAGTCGGCAGCTTTTTCATTACCTCTTTCTATAAGGTTGATTAATACATTTGTAATGAAGTTACATTGTTTTGTCATATTCTGAATTTCATTCTGGAATCCCTCAATCTCTTAGAATTTTACTATTTTGACTGTAAAGGTCAATGGACTCATAGAATCCACCATCACAGTATCATAAATGATAGTTTTCCATCCTAAAATATCTGTTCTGCTTCACCTACTTAGCCTTCTTTACTCCCTGAACCCCTAGAAAGCACTGATCTTCTCATTGTTGCTACTGTTTTACATTTTCCAGAATGTTACATATTTGTTGTCATATTGTGTAATCTTTCAAACTGGCTTCTTTCATTTAAACACACATCTACTATTTATCCTTATCTTTTTGGTTTGATAGCTTATTTATTTTTACTGCTGAATAATATTCCGTTGTATAGATGTACCACAGTTTATTTATGTATTCACTTATTGAAAGACATCTTGGTTTCTTCCAAGTTTGGGCAATTATGAATATACCTACTATAAACATCTGTGTGCAGATTTTTGTGTAGAAATAAGTCGTTAAATCCACTCAGCAAATATCAAGGGTTGTAATTGCTGCATTATATGGTAAGAATATAGTTAGCTTTGTAAGAAATAATCAAACTGTCTTCCAAACTGACTGTATCATTTTGGATTCTCAACAGCAATGAATGAGAGTTGTATTATTCCACATTCTCACCAGCAATCAGTATGTCATTTGTTTTGTTGTTGTTTAATTTTAACCCTTCTAATATATGTGTGATGGTATCTCATTTATTGTTTTAAATTTCAATTTCCTAGTAACAATTGATGTTGAACATTTTTTCATGTGCTCATTTGCAATCCTTGTATCTTCTTCAGTGAGATGTCTGTTCAGATCTTTGGTTCACTTTTTAATTAGCTTGTTTGTTTTCTTATTGCTAAATTTTAAGAGTCCTTTCTATATTTTGGAGACAGGCCCTTAAAGCCAACTGGGCCTGTTTTTTTTTCTTTTGAAGTTTATTAATTATTGATTAAATTTATTTTGTGTGTATAAACCAATTCAGATTATTTTATTTCTTCTTTTGTGAGTTTTGGTAGTATGTATCTTTCAAAGAATTGGACTATTTAATTTGTCAAATTTGTGGGCACAGTTTTTCAAAGCACTCCTTTATTTTATTTATTTATTTTTTTCATAAGATCAGTAATGATGATCCTTACTTTATTTCTGATGTTGGTGATTTTGTATTCTCTCTTAGGTTAAGTTAGTCTAGCTAGAGATCTATTAATATTATTGATCTTTGCAAAGAATAAACTTATGATTTTGTTGATCATCTCTATTATTTCCTTATTTTCATTTCATGAATTTCTGTTCTCATTTTTATTATTTATTTTGTTCTCCTTAATTTAGATTTAATTTGCTATTCTTTTCCTAGTTTCCTAAGATGGAAGCCTATATTACTGATTTTAGATGTTTCTTCTTCTATAGCATAATGCTATAAGTTTCCCTCTAAGCAATACTTTGCTGCATCCAACACACTAAAACAAATTGTACTTTTATTTTTGTCACAATATTTTAATGTATTAGTGATTTTGTCTATGTCTCTGCTGTTTTTTTGGGTTCTGCCTCACGTTTTAACATGAGCTTTCTAGTGCGTACGAATTTAGGATTGCTATGTCTTTTTTGAGGAATTTACCCCTTTATCATTACATAAGCCATTTTATATCCCCGATAATTTTTCTTTTTCTTAGGTCCTTTTTGTCCAAAATTAAAATATCTATTCCAGTTTTCTTTTTGCTAGAATTAGCATAGTATATCTTTTGCCATCTCTTTTCTTTTAACCTGAGAAATATTTAAAATGGATTTCTTGAAGACAGCGCACAGTTCGATTTTGTGGTGTTTTTTTTTTTTAATTCACTCTGAAAATCTCTGTGTTTTACTTGGTGTATTTAGATCATTCACATTTAAGGTGATTATTGAAATTGTGATAATATCCTAAGTGCTGAGATTGCAGACATGAGCCATCAAGCCTGGCCCTGCCTTCTCTGATTTTCATTGAGAATTTTATATGATTCCATTTTCTCTCGTATCTTAACATATCAGTTAGATTTTTTAAAAAGGTTTTTGTTGTTGTTGTCATAGAGTTTGCAATATACATTTAAAACTAATATAAGTTTGTTAACTAACTTTAAAAACAATATACTGATTCATGTGCAGTGAAGATAGAATTCCAGAATTTTGTTTTTGTTTCTGTTTTCTTGTTTGACTTTAAATATTTCACTCTACTTTGTCTGGCCTGCATGGTCTGATGAGATGCCCACTATAATTCTTATCCTTTTTCCTCTCTTGCTAAGGTTTCCCCCACCTTACCCCTGGCTTCTTTCAATTTGTTTAATGCTTTGTTTTATGTAATTTGAATATGATGTTTCCAATATTTAGGGGGTTTTTGTTTGCTTTTCTTTTTAGTGTTCTGTAAGCTTCTTCTATCTCTGCTTTTGTTTATGTCATTGATTTTGAAAAATTGTCAACCATTTTTACTTTAAATACTTTTTCTATTCCATTCCATCTTTCTATACCTCCTGATATTCCCATTAATTGTGCATTGCACTTTTAAAAATTATTTTACTTTTTATGAGTACTCTATTTGGTTTTTCCTTTCTTTTTTATGCTTACATTTCTGTTTGGGAAATTCCTATTGACATATATTCAAGAGTATTAATTCTTTTGTTGGCCTTATCCAGTCTACTGAAGAACCCTTCAAAGGCATTCTTTATTTCTGTTACACTGTTCTAATTTCTAGGATTTTCTATTTTTGTTTGTTAATTTGTTTTTGTTTTTGAAACAGGATCTCACTCTGTCACCCAGGCTGGAGTGCAGTGGCATGATCTCGGATCACTGCAACCTCCACCTCCTGGGCTCAAGTGACCCTCCTGCCTCAGCCTCCTGAGTAGCTGGGACTACAGGTGCAAGCCGCCACACCTGGCTAATTTTTGTATTTCTTGTAGAGACCGGGTTTTGCAATGTTTCCTAGGCTGGTCTCAAACACTTGGGCTCAAGTGATCTGCCTGCCCTGGCCTCCCAAACTGCTGGGATTACAGGCATGACCTTCGGATATTCTTTCAATTCTTTCTGGGAGCGTCCATCTTTCTCGTTACACACCCAATCTGTTCTTGCATGTTGTTGATTATTTCCAATAGAACCCTTAACATATTAATCATAATTATTTTAAATTCCTTGTCTCATAATTCAATATCTGTGTCATATCTGATTCTGGTTCTGATGCTTGCCTTGTTTCTTGAGACTATGAGGCTTTTTTTCGCCTTTTAGCATGCCTTATAATTTTTTACTGAAACCCAGACATGATTTATTGGCTAATAAGATCTGGAGTTGATAGGTATGCCTTAGTCAGCTTGGGCTGTTATAACAGAATTTCATAGATTGGGTGGCTTAAACAACCAGCATTTATTTCTCAGGGTTCTGGAGCCTGGTAAGTCCAAGATCATGGCAGCATCAGTTTTAGTGTCTGGTGAGGGCTCCCTTCCTGGTTTGAAAATGGCCATTTTCTCTTTTTGTCTTCACATAATAAAGAGAGAGATCATCTGTCTTGTGTCTCTTCTTACAGTGAAACTATTGTCATTCATACAAAGGCTCTACCCCCCTGAACTAACAACCTCCCAAATGCCCGATGTCCTTATACCACCACCATGTTGGGGATTAGACTTTAACATGTGAATTTGGGGGTGAAGGGAGACACAAGCATTCAACCCCTAATAAGGCCTTTGGTGTGAGTTTTTATGTTTACTGGGCTAGACGTTAGGCTGTCTTTAATGTTTGCTGCATCAGTAGGCATCAGAGGATTCAAATTCCTCCAGTGTCTTTTTTTTTTTTTTTTCCTAAGTTATCATTGCGTTTCCCTTAGATTTTTCCTCAGGAAAAGACTGAATTTCAGCTCCTTCAGCTGCAATCCACTGTTGTTATACTGGGGCCCTCTTGATGTGGACTGAAGGGAAGGAAACATTCTATAATATTGTGATTAATTTCCAATCTTTAACGTGCTCCTGGGCTGTAATATTCTCCCACCCCAACACTCTCTCATGCCGTTAGTTGATGCAGAAAAGCTAGAAGAGGCTGGAGTCTGAAAAATCTCCTCCCCTGCCCCTGATCCATAAGATAAGCCCCGGATAAAAGTGTTTTCCCCTGCAGAGTAGGCTTTTGCTGTGGAGGATCCTTTGCAGATTTCACAATAGTGTTCTCCTCTCTGCCTGAGGCATGTGGAGATCTTGGATCTTCAAGGGGTAAAACCCACTGGAGTGTGGGGCTCCATGAAGACTGTAGCTCCTGGAGTGTCTCACTCTCACACTAGCCAACACTCAGGCAGTTGGTCCAAATCACCACTGAAGTGTTCCTTGCAGTTCATGGCTCCAGCAGCTTTGGTTCCAGGCAAGCAGATTTTAGCTGTGCCTCTCAAGATTCCTTCATCTCTCCAGATTTCTTCAGACTGCAGAGATGATTTGCCCTATGACCTCTTATGGATCCAAGAAAAGTTGTCGATTTTCAGTTTGACATATTTTTAAAATTTTATTTTTGTAAGGGTGGCATTGTCAGTTTCCAAGAACTGTATCTGTCAAAGGTGAAAGTGGAAATCTATCAGCTCCTTTTCATGTTTTTTCATAACCCTCCTGACACTTGAAGGCCATGGAAATGTATTGAGTTATTGGGTCACATTTTACTTTACACTACTTGTCTAAAAGCCATCTCAGACTCTTCCTGGAAAAAAATATAGAGTTAAATGAATACAAATTTTTATAATACTCTAAAAAGAAATACACAATTATATAACTGTGTTTTAGGCACTCTGCTAGCATCTGGGAAATCACTGTAACTAAAATGTGGTGCCAGACCATGAGGCTATGACTGCTGAGGCATTCAAGAGAGAAAACTGGCCTGGCACGATGGCTCACACCTGTAATCCCAGCACTTTGGGAGGCTGAGATGGGAGGATCACGAGGTCAGGAGATCAAGACCATCTTGGCCAATATGGTGAAACCACATCTCTACTAAATTGCAAAAAATTACCCAAGCATGGTGGTGCACGCCTGTAGTCCCAGCTACGCAGGAGGCTGAAGCAGGAGAATCTCTTGAACCCAGAAGGCAGAGGTTGCAATGAGCCAAGATCACGCCGCTGCACTCCAGCCTGGCGACAGGGCAAGACTCGATCTCAAAATCAAACAAACAAACAAAACAAACAACAACAACAACAACAAAACAAAAACAAGAGAGAAAACCAATGGGGTATGATGAGCATTTCAATAGAAAATTCAATAAGACTACAGCAGAGGGAGACATTAATTGTGCCTAGGGAATCAGAAATTGCTAAAAAAAAAGCTGGTTTTTCAAGATAAATGAAAAATTAGCAAGAAACATGTTACATTTTTATTGTTTCTCTTATACTATTCATTACTAGTAACTCAGTTCTTCCTTAGAGCTCCAATATCCACATATGCAAACAATAACAGCTTTAATGATGCTACCTTTACATACACAGTAGGACCTGTTGCTTTCTTGGGTCACGGGTGCTAGAATATATTTACTGCTCTTAAGTCCGGGTCGCAAACACCGCAATAAGTCCTACTCACAAAGCACTTTCTCCTCCAAGACATAGCAGATCTTGTTAACTCGTGACACAGCTAAAAAGGACAGTACTAAGAGGAAGCATTTGTGGTGTTCTGGGCCTGAGGGAGACAGAGATTGTCACGGCTAACATTTAAGCCCTCCTCTTTTGCCTCCAGGACTGTTGTTCCATCAACTAATGGGACTCCTTGACCCTGCATGTCTCCCAAAGCATCCTTTATACAGAGGTGTTGTCACCTTCTTGTTGTATTGATTTTATATAATCATTTTAAATTTTCTGTAGTTTCAAATGCTTCTCAACAAGTATGCCATATCTATGCAGTAGTAAATGTGTAAGATTTCTAATATATAAATATAGATAAAATCAGAGAGCTAAAAATTTATTGATGGAGAGCCTGAGTTTTAAAAAAATGAAGACCAACCACAGACCCACATCTCTACCTCTCTCTGTTGCATAAAATTCTCAGCAGTCTCACCAGCCCCTTATGCTGCTCCACACAATGAGGACGACCTGAGCTGAGAGAAGAGCAGGCAGAGATGTCTCCCTGTGTACATGGGAGAACGTGTGCGAACCTAGAGAATGATGGCTGAGCAAATCCCTGGCAAGTCTCCTATTACTTGTCCCTGGGGACAGACCCCTGGATTAACATCTAAAATAAAACAGTATTCTGAGCCTTTGCTCTGCTGGTTTTTATTTGGCTTCATATGGGCCATTTAACCTCTCTGAGCTTCTGTTTTTCCCTTCAAGCACCGGAGCAAGAATGCCTGCCTCACATCATAAGGGTGCGTCTGAACAAGTAACGGATAGAAAAACTGAGGCTTCATACCAGCAATTAATGTTATTACCCTGGAATTCCACATTTATAAGTAGTAACAACATAACTTATTTCATGTTGTTTTTTAATCAAGAGTACTTCTGATGGAAGATTTTATTAGAATGTAGAATCATTGGATAAAAAATGATTTTTCACTTATAAAACAGTCTACCCAAGACAGGACTCCTGTCTACAGAATTCCTGGAAGATGATCACCCAACTTTTCTTGATTATGACTAGTAACTAGGAGCTCACAACTTTGAAAGAAAAGGGATTTCTTTTCTTTTCTTTGTGAAATGATACCATATTAAGTAAAAATATCCCCTCTGGTATGCTTTCTTTTTGAGTCTGCATCCTTGGGAAGCTCAAAATATTTCACTCACCTCTAATCACAATCATGATAAGTCTTCATAAAGCCATCTGTGTGCACACCACTGAATTTCCTTTTCATGGGTAAACAGGCCCAGATCTCTCAGGATATTATAGTAGGATACAATTTTCAGACACCTTATGTCTTAGTTTGTTCAAGCTGCTATTTAAAAATACCATAGACTGGCTTATAAACAAGAGAAATTCATTTCTTATAGTTCTCGAGGTTGGAAATCCAAGGCCAGCAGTTTCAGTGTCTGATGAAAGCCTGTTCCTCATAGACGGCACATTCTTCATGTCTTCATATTGCGGACGGAGAGCCATAGAGCTCTCTGGAGTTTCTTTGATAAGGGCACGAATCTCATTCATGAGGGCTCTGCCTGAAGGCCCTTCCACTCAACACCATCACTTTCAGGATTTCAATGTTTGCATTTTGGGGGGACATTGAGACCACAGCATCTCACATGCATCGTCCTCTTGAGGCATCTTATGCATCTATCTGCTTTTCTATTATTTATAAGTGGTGCCTAGAACCAAGTGTAATATGATCTACATGTACTATAACTTGTTTGCTTCTATTTTAATGATGCTGTGTTACACTAATAATGAACCGTGTAGCTAACAGAACACAGTCATACCTAATGTCTCACAAAACACTGAAGAATCCCTTTTTATAGATGTGGAAACAAAACAAAGACCCTTAGAAGTTAAGAGGTTTGTTCACTATCTCACAGATAATCCAGGATTAGTACACAGGTATACCAGCTGTCATTGACTACATTGCTCAGTTAAGGGTAGATTAAATTGACAGGTCACCAATAGCTTGGGTCCACCAACTCTCTCAGCCTTTTTTCCACATTGAATGATGCCAAAAAAGTGTTGTTCTTTATGAAATTGTCTATTTATTTTTAACATTAATACAGTTATATAAAATTTAGAAATATGGAAGGTTTAGTGTAAGAAGCCTTACAGATTATGTTAAACATATAACACATTTATGAATAAGCAACTGGCAAACTAATCAAACATCACATAGTTAATCTATGGGCAAAAATGATATAATTGAGGTCTTCAAAGACATATGAATTGTCTTCATGCCATAGCATTAGCAGACAGGTAGGTAGCCTTTACATTCTTTTTAGAGGGGTTCCTCATCACTGACAATCCTATCAAAAAATCTAGATTTATCTTATTGCATCCCACTTAATAAAACCATTAAACTCAACTTGTCTTTGTATAATCACTGTAAATCCACTTGTGGCGAGAGGATGGACGCTTAGACTGATGGGACATGGGACAAGAAATGAGCACGTCCGTTTATGTAAAAGCCAATGTTTCCATTAACACATGCTTGGTGCAGTCACAAGTGGCAGCTGCTACTGTGGATTTCAGTTGCTATTTCTCTGAGGACCCCATAGAAGACTGTAAAGAGTGCCTGAGGACTGAAAAATGTGCCCACTCTTTTAGCCCTGGGAACAAACTACTCAATATGGCTATTTGGAAACACAGTGTGGCAATTCAGGAATAAGAATCACTAAAATTGATTGTTCTCTTTGGCCTCATTTAACTGATCACAACTCCACATAAGTCAAGAGCTTTTTGCATAATAATTTTCATTACCATATTATGTAACACTGAAAAATTGTTAGTTCTTTCATAAATTATCTGATTTTAAAAAGTAGCACACATTATCAAACAAGAAATTTTGAGAAGTGGTCATGGCTGGTGTCCAGTACAACCTCTTCCACTTTGAAAGTGCTCACTGTTACTGTTTGTGTCTGTTACTTGGTACCTCACAAAATGAGATGGCACAATCTTTTATTACAGTGAGACATTTATAAAATTATTTATGCATTTTTTTCAAAATGTACCTTAATAAATACCAAAATGTTGCTAAATTGTAGTTTATGTTTTTGTCCTTAATGCAATCAAGTAGAAATGAAAATAACTACAAAACATCACCATCAAAAATAAAAACATGGAACTGATTAAAGAAAACTATTAAAAATTCTTGGAATCCAAAAGGACCTCAACTCTGAAATTAAGATTATTTTATAATAAAAACAAGGAAAAAGCTTTATATTAAAACCCATTGGATGTTTCCAATCTTTAACCTTTAAAAAATTTTATGTTAAATAAAAACATTGAGAATAAATAAACTAAGCATTTTTTTTCTGGTAATAAAAAAGCGTTCAATTTAAAAAGTGAGATTGAAAAATAAAATGGAAAAAAACAGAATAAAACAAAATTTAAAAAACAAAAAAGTGAGATTGAAATAGTTAAGAAATAGCAACAAGAAATTGAAACTTATTAAGATAAAGAATCTACAGATAAAATAAAATTTTATTTTTATAAGACAAAAAATTTAAAACAAAGAATCTGAAAAATAAAATTAAATATATGTATATCTGCAATCATGAAAAAGAAAATTTATGAGAAACTCAGGAGAAAATAAACAATTGAAAGAAATATCCCAAGCAATTTTATATCAAAAGCTGGAAACCTACATAACAGTCGAAGATACCTTTTGAAAATATAAATATACAAAATTGAGTAACAAAATAGGATATGATTGGCAGAGGTGTCAGGAGGGAAAGAAGAAAAGGAAAAGGAGGAAGGGAAAGAAGTGGAAAACGAGGAGGAGAGAGCAGAGAAGTGAGAAGAGAAGAGAAAAATTATTTGGTCACTTTAATACATGACTATGATAACAAAAATACTAAGAAACTCTCGAAGTAGTGCTCATAATAGAGTTCAGTGTGGTAGACAGAAGTAATATAAACTAACAAATTCAATATTTTTAAAACCAGTAATAACAAGCTTGAATAAGCATCTCAATATACTTACACAAAAATACATTTTCCTTATATATTATTACCTGATAAATACAAGTTAAACAACATGTAATATAATTAATTTGTGTTAAGGAAAGTAGCATAGAGAGGAATATGTTTATTTTCTGTGTGTTTATATATGTATTAATGTATGTGTTTGTATGTTGACATGAATGTATGAATACTGTATATTTGCATGTGTGGGTGTGTCTGTGTATTTAGAAAGACATGCCCCAAATTATAAACAGCATTTTACTGAGGGATTCAGGTTGGAGATGAACACAAGGGGTTTCTTATATGTTGCATTTTATAATTTTATACGATGAGAAACACTGTGATTTTTTTCTTTTTATGTTTTGCTCTATTTTTCAAACATACTGTTTTTTATTTTTTTAATTAATATTATTTTTAATGGACAAATTATAATTGTATGCATTTATGGACCACAATGTGGAAGGATTAAATCAAGTTAAATAACATATACATCATCTTTCTCACTTATCACTTTTTGTGGTAAGACATTTGACATTTACTCTTAGTAATTTTGAAATATACAATACATGAATATTGACTATAGGTCACCCTGATATGCAATAGATCTCAAAACTTATTTCTCCTGTCTATCTGAAATTTTGCGCCATTAGATCAACAACTCCCCATTCTTTCCCCACTCCCAGCCTCTGATAACCACTATTCTATTCTCTACTTCTGTGAATTCAACTTCTTTAGATTCTACGTTTAAGTGAGATTATATGGTATTTGTCTTTCAGTGTCTGGCTTATTTCACTTAGCATAATGTCCTCCAGTTTCATCCACATTGTTGCAAATGGCAGATTTTTTTTTTTAAGGCCTAAAGAGTATTCCATTGTAATAGTATTTCACATTTTCTTTATCTGTTCATACATTGACAGACACTTTGGTTGATTCTATATCTTGACGGCTGTGAATTCACACTGTGTGTGAATATTGCTGCAATGAGCAAGGAAGTGCAGTTATCCCTTCAATATATTGATTTCAATTCCTTTGAATGTATACCCAGAATCATGATAGTTCTGTTCTGAGTTTTTTGAGGCACCTCCATACTGTTTTCCACAATTGCTACACTAATTTACATTCCCACCACAACACTCAAGAGTTTCCTTGTCTCCATAATCTCACCAACACTCGTTATCATTCATCTATTTTATAAAAGCCATTCTAACAGGTGTGAGGTGATATCTCATTGTGGTTTTATTTTGCATTTCTCTAATGATTAATGATGTTGAATATTTTTTCATGCACTTGTTAGCTATTTATTGTCTTCTCTGATAAATGTCTGTTCAAGTCCTTTGCCCATTTTTTAGTTGGATTGTTTGTTTTCTTGTTATTGAGGTCTTTCTTATACATTTTGGATTAACCCCCTATCCAATGTATGCTTTGCAAAAATTTTCTCCCACTATTGAGTTGTTTCTTTACTTTATTGTTTTTTTTTTTTTTTTGCTGTACAGAAATCTTTTAGTTTAATGTAATCCCATTTGTCCATTTTTGCTTTTCTTGCATGAGCTTTTGGGGTCATATCTAAAATGTTATTGAACAGGTCAGTTTCATGAAGCTTTTACCCTACATTTGCTTCTAGTAGTTTTACAGTTTCAGGTCTTATATTTAAGTTTTTAATTCATTTGAGTTGATTTTTGCATATGGTGTGAGATAAGGATTCAATATCATAACTCTGCATGCGGATAGCCAGTTTTCCTAACACAATTTACTGAAGAGATTGTTTTTCCCCACTGTGTGTTCTTGGCAACTTTATTGAAGATTAATTGACTATAAAGGCATAAGTTTATTTCTGGGCTTTCTGTACAATCTTTTCCATTGATGCAGAAAAAGCATCTGACAAAATTTAATACCATTTCATGATAAAAAGTCTCAACAGATTAGGTATAGAGGAAATGTACCTCAACACAATAAAGATTATATATGAAAACCTGTAGCTAACATTATATTCAACAGTGGAAAGTTGAAAGATTTTCCTCTAAGATCAGGGACAAGATAAAGATTCCCACTCTCACCACTTCTTTTCTTTCTTTTTTTTTTTCTTGAATTATACTTTAAGTTCTGGGACACATGTGCAGAACGTTCAGGTTTGTTACATAGGTATACATATGCCGTGGTGGCTTGCTGCGCCCATCAACCCGTCATCTACATTAGGTATTTCTCCTAATGCTCTCCCTCCCTTTGTTCCCCCACCTCCTGAAAGGCTCTGGTGATGTTTCGCTCCCTGTGTCCATATGTTCTCATTGCTCAATTCCCACTTATGAGTGAGAACATATGGTGTTTAGTTTTCTGTTCCTGTGTTAGCTTGCTGAGAATGATGGTTTCCAGCTTCATCCATGTCCTGGCAAAGGACACGAACTCATTCTTTTTTATGGCTGCCTAGTATTCCATGGTAAATATGTGCCACATTTTCTTTATCCAGTCTACCATTGATGGGCATTTGGGTTGGTTCCAAGTCTTTCCTATTGTGAATAGTGCTGCAATAAACATGCGTGGGCATGTGTCTTTATAGTAGAATGATTTATAATACTTTTGGTATATACCCAGTAATGGGATTGCTGGGTCAAATGGCATTTCTGGTTCTAGATCCTTGAGGAATTGCCATACTGTCTTCCACAATGGTTGAACTAATTTACACTCCCACCAACAGTGTAAAAGCATTCCTATTTCTCCACATCCTCTCCAGCATCTGTTGTTTCCTGACTTTTTAATATCACCATTCTACCTGGCGTGAGATGGTATCTCATTGTGGTTTTGATGTGCATTTCTGTAATGACCAGTGATGATGGCTTTTTTTCATGTCTGTTGGCCACATAAATGTCTTCTTTTCAGAAGTGTCTGTTCATATCCTTCACCCACTTTTTGATAGGGTTTTTTTTTCTTGTAAATTTGTTTAAGTTCCTTATAGATTCTGGATATTAGCCCTTTGTGAGATGGATAGATTGCAAACATTTATTCCCATTCTGTAGGTTTTCTGTGCACTCTGATGATAGTTTGTTTTGCTGTGCAGAAGCTCCTTAGTTTAATTCAATCCCATTTGTCAATTTGGGCTTTTATTGCCATTGCTTTTGGTGTTTTAGTCATGAAGTCTTTGCCCATGCCTATGTCCTGAATGGTATTGCCTAGGTTTTCTTCTAGGGTTTTTATGGTTTTAGGTCTTATGTTTAAGTCTTCAATCCATCTTGAGGTAATTTTTGTGTAAGGTGTAAGGAAGGGATCCAGTCTCAGTTTTCTGCATACGGCTAGCCAATTTTCCCAGCACCATTTATTAAATAGAGAGTCCTTTCCCCATTGGCTGTTTTTGTCAGGTTAGTCAAAGATCAGAGAGTAGATGTGTGGTGTTATTTCTGAGGCCTCTGTTCTGTTCCATTGGTCTATATATCTGTTTTGGTACCAGTACCATGCTGTTTTGGTTACTGTAGCCTTGTAATATAGTTTGAAGTCGGGTAGCATGATGCCTCCAGCTTCGTTCTTTTCGCTTAGAATTGTCTTGGCTATACCAGCTCTTTTTTGGTTCCATATGAAATTTAAAGTAACCACCACTTCTTTTCAACATCACAAAAGAACTCTCACCCAGAGCAATTATCAAGAGAGGGAAATAAAAACCATCCTAATGGGAAAGAAAGAAGCAAAATTGTTTCTGTTTGCTGATGACATACCTTATACCTAGAAAGAAAACCTAGACTCCACCAAAAACCTGTCAGAACTGATAAAGTCAATAAAGTTGAAGGACACAAAATCAACATAAAATAACAGTAGCATTTCTATATACTAATAATGTACTATCCAAAAAGGAAATAAAGAAAACAATCCCACTTACAATAGCAATAACTAAATTAAATAACGTAAATAAGTGTAAATTTAACCACAGAGATAAAAGTTCTGTATACTGAAAACTAATGAAATATTGATAACAGAAATTGTAGAAAACAAATTAATTAAAGCATAGCCCATGTTTATGGCTTGGAAGAATTCATATTGTTAAAATGTCCACACCACCCAAAGGAAATCTACAGATTCAATGCAATTCTTGTCAAAATTCCAACGTAATTTTTCACAGAAATTTTTTTAAAATCCTAAACTTTGTATGCAACCACAAAAGACCCTGAATAGCCAAAACAATCTTGAGCAAAAGGAAGAAACCTGGAGGCATCACATTCCTTCAAAATATATTATAAAGCTATAGTAATCAAAATACTATGATACTGGCATAAAAACACACATGGTTCAAACATATTTTAAATCTTTATCTCAAAAATCAAAATAGTTTTATCATAAATTTAAAATTATAATTCAAAATGTAAAAATAATTCTACACATAGAGGAATAAAAGATAAAATGTGGGCCGGGCACGGTGGCTCACGCGTGTAATCCTAGCACTTTGGGAGGCCGAGGCGGGCGGATCACGAGGTCAGGAGATTGAGACCATCCTGGCTAACACGGTGAAACCCCGTCTCTACTAAAAATACAAAAAATTAGCCGGGCGTGGTAGCGGGCGCCTGTAGTCCCAGCTACTCGGGAGGCTGAGGCAGGAGAATGGCGTGAACCCGGGAGGCGGAGCTTGCAGTGAGCTGAGATCGCGCCACTGCACTCCAGCCTGGGCGACAGAGCGAGACTCCGTCTCAAAAAAAAAAAAAAAAAAAAAAAAAAAAGATAAAATGTGAAAAATAAAAATAATATTTGAAAACAGAGAGAGTTAGTTATCTTTCAATATTCTACTAATTAGTTTCATTATTATGCATTTTTCTCAATACGAAATGAAACTATGCAATGGGAGGTGCCTAGGTAGTGTTTCTAATTGTATAATAGAAACTTAAAGTGCTTTGTATTCATAGAAGAAAAGTACTATGACAGATAACAGCATTGAACACAAATGCTCTACATCAGTAGAAAAATGGGACATGATTCAAACTATTGTCAGGCTAATCATTTAAATGTTATTCAATCTAATTTTTAAAGAACTATAAAGATCAGTATTATTATTGCAAATACATCTAAAATTGAGAAGTTGGTAAGCCAATTCAATATATGCAGGCACATCCCATACATTTTAATTATGTGATTTAAAATCATGTGGTGAAAAATACTTTCCGAGACTCACTTCATGAAGAAAATTAGAAAAGAAAATGTAAATCCAAAGATACCTTTTACCAACAACCACATACTTTCAGGGCAGGGGCCATAAGTGACTTGTGAACTGTGTTTACACCATGGGCATGTGGCAGAACCAGTTAAGCTGGGAAAGAGATCTGTCTGTCATTCTTTGTACCTGAACCATGTTTAAGAGCTTCAATGATGCTATGAACTATCATGCAATTATTTTAACGTATGGGGTACTTTGATGACAATGTGAAGCCTAAGCCAAATTCAGCCTGACACTTGAATTTGCTTTTGTAAATAATTTTTATGGGAGGACAGCTGTGCCCATATGTTTACGGATTGTCTACAGACACTTTTGTCCTACAATGTCAGAGTTCAGTATGATTGTATGGCTTGCAAAACCTAAAATATTTACTATGTGACTCTCTACAGAAAAATTTTGCCAACCCTTGTCCAATAGCAATGTATCCACTTGTTCTTAAACCTGCTAGGCTATTGTTAACCCACTTATGCCAGAGGTTGCAATTTTTTTGTGTGAAAAATCAGACTTTGGCGATGACCTTGAGCAGTAGGATATACATGACTCCCACAAGTTTAGTGTTCCAATGATGGGACACTAGGCATAAATGGGTTAATGCATAGCCACTAACAAATCCATAACTTTGGAATGGAAGCTACATTAAGAAGGCCAACCACATCAAATAAAATATGTTGCTAACCTATGGACAACTATTCTACAAATATTAGAAATAATGACGAGAAAATTGTAAAACAAAAATAGATTTTCTTGTCAAATTATACATGACATACTGACATACATATAATTTGATTAAATGAATGGTTTTTAATAATCTAGAATTAAATTTCTTTGTTAAAGCTATTTCCTCTCCATGGAATTCATTCCCAACCTTCTAAACTTAGAGAGATCCATAAAGCATTCAGACTTAGCTCAGGTTTCCTGCCTGGAAGCCTTGTAACAGCCCATTATGGCCCAAACACAGATTCTAGTTTCCTCTTCCAACTCACTGCCCTATGAAGTGCTGCTTCTGACCCACTTCTGCCTGCTCCCCTGAGCCCTGGGGACCTCCACATGTGGATCTGGCATTTCTGTATAGGGTCATGATCTAGCTCAGTATCTAGTGTTTAGAGTATGCTAAGCATGAGTTGCCTAAATTAATTACTTTAATAATATTTCAAATTCCTAAGGGAACCATGTCCAAAAAGTGCCTTTTAATATTACCTCATCAACAATGCAAATAATCTTAAAATGTGAATCTTAACTGTTGATTTGTCTTTTTTATGAGAATATTTAAATATTTTTACTTTTTAAAAAATCCACTTTGTAGTAAAAAAGAATTGATTTCATTTTTTTGCAGTTATTAAGAAAGTAATTGTAAGATATTTGGAAATGCAAAAAATTAAAAAAATTATTTAAGTTCTACCATCCCAAATAAGTGGTGTTCACACCTGACTATGCTATTAATAGGAATCTCCTGTTCCCTCTTTAAAGTCTAATCATTTGCAGTCGTGGACTTCAGAGGTTTGCTAACAGAATATACCATGCTAAGAGTCAAAATGGTAGCATTGCTATATTTATGTTAAACAGCAAATCTGCTAGATGTCTTTTTAATCAGACTAAGTGGTCACGTTGCATTTAGTCAAAAGCTGTCACTGATTGTCTTTCTCAAGATTTCCAAGCTTCAAGTTGCAGGTTTACATTAGTCTGTTTTGATTTTTAGCGAAGTTAGCAACTCATTAACCAAATGAGTTGCTATGATAGAGTAAGTCCTCAATGCTAATTTACCTAACATGCACATTTTTGGGATGTGGGAGGGAACTGGAGTACACGAAGAAAACCCAGACATGAGGAGAATGTGCAATCTCCAAACAGACAGTGGTCCTGGCTAGGAATCATTTATTTTTTTCTTTCCAATGTTATAACAAAACAACAGTATTCAAGATCGTGCTGTATGCCATATACCCACAAAAGGAGCATTTACAGCTTTATTTTGTAATCCTGGATTATCAGATAACATTCTTTTTTGCATGTCAGTCTTTTCTTCTGCCTAAAATGTCCCTCTTTAGAAAGTAATCCTTTAGAAGTTGATTTAGAGAGGGTTTGCTGGTCATAAATATTGTTATTGTGTGTTTAAAATATTACTATTATTTTAAAATGTTAATCTCCCAAAGAAGAGAATTCCAGATGATCAGTTATAATCTCTTAGTTTCTTAAAAATATTTAAAGTATAAAGTATACTAGAAATTGGAATTTATAAAAATGCATCCACTTTGCTGTTACTACTAATTTTGCAATTGGTATACTTGTTTCTTTACAGGCAATGTTTATTTTATCTTCCATTGTTTTTGAGATCTTATCTTTGCCTGTGATATTCTGTGTGTCCAGCTGTGATTGTCTTTTTTTTTTCTTTTTATTCATTCTCCTTGGAATTCATTATACTCTCTAAATCTGAAAATTTTTGTTCTTCATTAATTCTAGACAACTCTCATTTAGCACTTTTACTATTGCCTCCTCTCATGCTCCTTATGTTTAAAGATCCAATTAGATGAATATTTGCCCCCTTACTATTTTCTATGTCTCTTAATCTCTCCTTTATACTTCCATATTTCCTCTTTTCTCTACATGTGTCCAACTCCTGGTAAATGTTTCAGGTCTATTTTCTAGTTACTGATTCTTTTTCATGTATCTCTTACCTGCCACTGAACACATCATTGGTGAGGTATTTAATTTTAATGACTTTTTTTTTTTATTTTAGCCGCTACATTTGGTTATATTCTAGTCTTCCTAGCATATTTTGGAGCATATTATTCTTTTTCATCTTGTATTTCTTTGAAAAATCTAAATAATTTTTTTTGTGCTCTATGATTCTGTTACCTGAAGATCCTGGTTTCTGCTGGCTTTCTCGTGGTGGCTTGTTTCTTTGTGTACTTGGTGATTTTCAAATGTGAGCTTATATTTCATGTTTTTCTGGATTTTATTTGCTGGAATCCTGGAAAGCATGGGTTGAAGGAGCAAACCTTCAGAAAGTCAGAGCCAAATACAGTTTGTTTCTGCCAGTTACCCTAAGGCATTCTTACCCATGTGTGACTACATAATGTTAATTTCTAGGATTGGTATTCTCTGTGCCATGAAAGTAATGTAAATCTGAATTCCTGGGGACATGGAAAGCCTATGATTTAGAAGTTTTGAAGAGAGAGTATTATTTTTTCAATGAAAGCACAGGTTAAGACAAACAAGTGCCAGTACAGTCCAGGGCTGAGTCAATCCCAGAGCCCGCAGATGAGTCAACTCCATCTAGCAGTAATCCAGATGCTCTGCCGCACACAAGGAAGAGAGAGAGAGACATGAAGAAATCAGGCATAGACTCTAACCTTTAAGAACTCACATAAAAGTGAGGCTGATGGAAATGTACACCGCTAGTAGTGATGCAAGGATTTAAGATTCACCCTCTGTGGCAGCATAAGCAAAAGTCTACCTGTGGCTGATTAAGGAAGCAGTGAAGCAAAAATCTAAGCATGTGGTATTTGCACTGAACCTTGAAAAATGGCGACCATATTCACAGGCCCCCAGAAATGAAAAGGCATTCTAGATACAGGAAAACATCAGCAAAGCATGGACGGCGAGGCCATGTGGTGGATTTTAGAGGTAGAGCCTGAAGTAAAATGAGAGTTGCACAGGAATGTCATGAGAGCCAAGATCAGAGCAGTCTTGTGCTTTACCTGCCATCTAAGGCATGTAGATTTCACTAAGTAAATAAAAGTGAGCCAACACAAATCTACAACCAGTGAACTTTCATGTCAAATCCTCCTACATATCCATAAACAGCAACCATTCTACCCTGTTCCTCAACCTGAGCCTTAGTTGGTTTTAGATGGTACCAAAACAAGTCGTTTGATAGAGCAATATTCAGTAAACTTTTTAAAACATAAATATGATGTGAACAATTCAAATTACGTTGACATTTTTCCTGAGTTTCCATGTTTGGGGCAATCTTTAAGTAACCTACAAGTGTTTGATATCATGATACATCCAGCTTATGTTTATATTAAATCAAAATGGACAGGAGAGGAAAAAATGTTAAGGATCCCAGTGTTTGATGTACCTAATGCAAATGATTTATGTCAATGTCATAACTTTGTAAGTAGACCCTCCTATGAGCACTTTTCTACATTTCTGTGGACAGCCAGTCAGAATAGACTAAGGGGTAGCTCTATCTACTAGGAACATTCGCCCACTAATATCTTCAATAGGACGTAAAAGATAGGTAAACAGAGGCCATAGAGCAAGGCTGTGTCAATAAAGCAAAGGATTGTAAAGTTAGATTTTTAGAGATGTTAAGTGGCTGAAAGAAAAGGCTGAAACTAGTGAGGCAGTGTTTCATGGGGTAAAAACATCTACCTTTGATTCTCTCACTTCAACTAGACCCAAGCAGAAGGGAACTTATTTAAACAGCAGTTCATGGAAGAAAAGCCATCATAGGCTACATCATCAACTCAAAAATGACATACCCGTGAAAGCTCTGCCTAAACATCTAAACTCAACATAGGCAGCTTTAATGTAAATGAATAGTGGAAACCTAAGGATACGATGTTTTGTTGCACTTGCCATTGGATTACTGTGCTTGACTTTGAGTCACTGCAAACTGCCATGTGTTTAGAGGTGATCCTGGATGTTGCAGGGGTCCAAGACCCAGGAGATCCTGGATAATTTAAGTGGCAAGTAGCAGACTTCATGGAGGACATTTAGTGTAAGAAAGGAGAAAACTTAGGTCCAACATGTAGAAGTTTCAAATAGAAAAGTTTTGATGTGTCACAGCAGGAAGTAAAAAAGTATCACTTCCACTCTAGGAGGATTTCCTATCAATTTGAGCTCTTCTAGTTTAATCACAGATTTTGTAAAATAATGAGGTCTGCAAAGGAATTTAAACAGGGACTACGCAACCACTTGATGGGATATTGGGAATATCTACATCGTGCTGGACAAAAATATAAATGGTTCCTTGTGTGGCTTTGGAACCCAGATTCTCCTGCATCATCATTCTACATTGGTGCCATGAGGGCCAGACACTCTCACAACACTGCCCTTCTTGCTGAAAATATCAGTAATCTCCTTCAAACAGATAACTTGACTTCACCAGACTTTTTTCAGCACTTGGCAGCTATATAAACTTTTTATTAGTCCATTTATTGTTTATTTTGCACTGTTTTGTTTTAAGCATAAAGGGGTGAAGTACTAAAATATGTTTAGGGCCCATATCCCATTAAATCACAGATACTCAGTATGGCTGAGCAAATGTTTACTTCCCAGGGTCAGCCTAAACAAAACGAAAACAGCAGTCCCAAATATTTCCTTTGCAGAATAATCACAAAGGCTGTCTCTCCTGAAATCTTAATCCTAATCTTAAATATTTGCTGTCCTAAAATGAGGAAAGTCCTGTCAGTAATTGTATTATCTGTTCTTCTTCATGCTCATCATAAATGCCAAAGGGTAATTCTTCCTAGAAAAATCAATCTTTAGTGATAACACGCAATGTGTTTTTAATTAATGAAGCTGCTTGATGCTGGCAGACTGGAAGTATCTTATCATCACATGCTGGGGAATTCACACAGGGTCCTGTCTGTGCATGCCGATCCCTGGAGCCAAAGAAAAATCTCCTGTCATTAAATCCTCTGCTGAACTAGCCTACATACTAAATAGGCAGAGGATCACGCCAGCCATCATGCTGGATAAGTGTATCAAGATATAACGCATGCCAGAAGCTGATGAAATACTTTGGCAAGAGCAGTGACCAGTTTTGTTATAATAAGTTGTGGTTTATCTCCAGTGTGGAGGGGAGAAAACTCATTTATGATTGCTCAATATTCTTGAGCAAAATACGACTGTCATCTGAATCCAGAGTAGAAGAGAGGATTTTTGTTTCTTTGTTTCTACGTTTATTTTGTTTTTAAGAGGAAAAGCAGCTTCTCAGTTGATGGGCAGTGGGAACAACACTGGATTTGTGAAGAGGGCTCACTGTGATTGAGTCACTTCACTTTTTTCCTTGCTCCTATACTTGGTACAAGTCCCCTACCCTCTCCAAGACTCATTTCCTCCTTTCTAAAATGAGGACAAGAGCACCCACTTCAGGATGAACACACAAGTTAAAGCGTTGAAGCACATTGTAGGCTATACAGATAAAGACATTGTTATTCTTTCTAGAAATAATAATTATTTGTTTCTTACAGACTCCACTAAAGTGAGAGTTGGAACTAAACATTCTCCAACATTCCTTTTAAAAAATTATCAAATTATTAGTTTTTAATTCCAAAATTTTAGGTTTTAGTTTGTAGGCCTGATTAACAAAAGCTACTTTTATTTATTTATTTATTTTTTTCCGTGTGTAGCCAAAATTGAATGTAGGCATGAAATGCAGGGAATTTTTGGATAATGGGACAGAGAGGTATTTATTGTTTCAGAAAGCACTTCCTGAAAACATTTATAACCAAAGAGCCAATAAAATGATCGGTTCAGAGATAAGTATACTGGAAGGAAATAATGACCATTGCAACACATGGCTAAACACCCTGGAATCATTCTTCCTTGTATTATTAAGCATAATTTTTACATTAACACAGAGTCAAAATAAAAGTTCCCTGCTGTGCTTACACAATACTCTGCAGCTGAGCAATAAGAACTTCGAGTGAAGTAAGGAGCAATTAGAGCAAAAGACAACTCAAACTAATTATTTTTAATCATATAAGTATAGCTTAGATCGACTCACCTGTAAAACAGGATAATTACCTAGGTATTGGATACTCTTTAAATGTTTGTAGGATTAAATTGACATTTCAGTTATAAGCTATTATTGAGTATTGGAACCAAACAAGCATGGAATACAATAGGGATAAATCAAATAATGTAACTACAGATAAATTATAATATAATAGAAGGATAATATTATTACAATATTATAACAATTATATCTACAGATCAAGGAATTTTGTAAAGATAATTGAGACAAACCAGATGGAAAAAACTTGTAAAGATGCTAAAAAACAAACAAAAACATATTGCCCTTGCTCACTTTCTTGGGCCCAGTATAGAAAAGACTAACTTCTGTATAATTTCCACCTTAGTTTCTAGGTGAAACAGTTGAACTACTGACCTCTGTGTAATTATTTCGTAATCTGCTTCCTCTTCATGAAACGTTTAGTCCAAATCTCTGTATGACCAAGCTTTTCCCATCTTCCAAAGCCCAGATGAAAGAGGTCATCCACAGAACTCCCCTGTTCCTCTACTCCACCATATTTCTCTCTCCTGCAAAGGAGTTCTCTCTAGCATTGACCTTGCAGTGGTCTATTCCATGAGGGCCAAATCTAAAGCATAGAGTCATGCACCACACAATGGTGTTTCCATCAACAACAGGCTGTGTATTCAACAGCTGTCTCATAAGATTATAATGAAGCTGAAAAATTCCTACTGCCTAGTGATATCATAGTGCAATGCATTACCCGGGTGTTTGTGGTGATGCTGGTGTAAACAAAACTACTATGCTGCCAGTTGTTTAAAAGTATAGTGCATACAATTATGTACAGAATATATTACTTGGTAAGATAATAAGTGACTATGTTACCACTTTATGCATTTAGCATACTATATTCTTGTTGATATTTTTATTGTATTTTTATACTCATAAAAAAAGTTAACTGTAAAACAACCTCAGGCAGGTCTTAGACATTGTCATCATAGGAGATGGCAGCTCCATGCACGTTATTACTCCTGAAGACCTCCCAGTGGGACAAGCTGTGGAGATGGAAGACTGATATTGATGATCCTGACCCTGTGTAACCCTAAGCTAATTTATGTGCTTCTGTCTTAGTTTTGGACAAAAATGTTTAAAAAGTAAGAAAAATAAAAATAGATACATGCCTATAGAATAAGGACATAAAGAAAGAATATGTTTTTGTAGCAGGTATATAATGTGTTTTTATTTTAAGCTACGTGTTATTGCAAAAGAGCCAAAAAGTTTAAATAATTTAAAAGTTTATAAAGTAAAATGTTGCAGTAGGCTAAAATTACTTTGTTACTGAAGAAAGAAAAAATACTCTTTTGTAAATTCAGTGTAGCCTAAATGCACAGTGTTCATAAAATCTATCATAGTGTTGAGTAATTGACTCACTGGGCTTTCATATTCACTCACCACTCACTCACTGACTTACCCAGGGCAACTTCCAGTTCTACAAACTCCATTCATGGTAAGTTCTCCATATATATGCACCCTTTTAAAAAATATTTTATCCTCTATTTTTACTTTACTTTTTTGATGTTTAGATATCTTTAGATACAAAAGTATGGAACCATTGTGTATACTCGTCTACGGTATCAAGTTCAGTGACATGCTGCACAGGTTTGCAGCCTAGGAGAAACAGGCTATACATATAGCCTAGCTGTGTAGTAAGCTCTACCATCTGGGTTTGGGTAAGTACAGTCTATGATGTTCACACAAGACAAAATTGCCTAATAGTGCAATTTTAATTTCTTAGAATGTATCCCCATTGTTAAGCAATGCACGACTGTATTCACACTTATATTTCCTGGTATCTTCCAACAGTGCTTACTTATGTCTGGTGTGGCCCACATAAAATTGATCAAATGACAAAAGAGTGATACTCTTAAAATAAGGTAAGTGGGTGTGTCTTGCAGGGTATGGAAGAGGAAATGTCAATAATACTGACCATTCAATGTAGGAAAATTTGATTTGGGACACCGTCAAGATATTACTCTCCCTTAATAAGAGTTGGCAGACCAAACAAGAACATATGGGAGAATGATCTCCAGTACTAACTGTTATTTTGCAGTGTACTAAATAAAAACTAACTTTCTTATACAGAATAAGAGACAAATTGTATTTAGAAATTGAATTTACAATTCACAAGAAGCTGAAAGAGTAATTTACACTCTGCAAAAGGATAGAGACTTAAGAAAAGCATAGACACCCAGTTCTATGTCAGAACCCGACAGGCACAGGCTCAAAGGAGCCCCATCTGCTCTAGAACACGAACCACTTCTTACTTAAGGCTTCTCACCAACATTCTTTTGAGAAGGGAAGGAGAATGTAACAGGAAAACTGTGCTATGTTATGTATGTAATTTTCTGTGAATTAAAATGAAAAAGCTCTAGTCAAATGCAAGTAATTATTTCATTTTGTGGGTTTGATAAATCTTTATTAAAAGTTGTATTGAACCTATACCAAGTTTAAAAAAAAACTTCTTTAGATATTATCTATTTATTCTTACGTGCATTCATTTATTTAGTGTAGGATTGTTGAGTGCACACCGTTGGATGATGTCTACATGTCAGGGATACAGAAAGGAAAGAAAAACAAATGTCCCTATCCATAAAGGTGGAGGATATTAAACTAATGTTCCCATTACTCGTGTATGTTTTTGGAGGAGTAATGTTAATGAAGGAAGATAATATGGTTTGGCTGTGTCCCCACCCAAATCTCATCTTGAATTGTAGCTCCCATAATTCCCACGTGTTGTGGGAGGGACCCAGTGGGAGATAATTGAATCCTGGGGGCGGTTTCCCCCATACTGTTCCCGTGGTAGTGAATAAGTCTCACAAGATCTGATGATTTTATAAGATGTTTCCCCTTTCACTTGGTTCTCTCATTCTCCCCTGCCTGCCACCATGTAAGACATGCCTTTCACCTTCTGCCATGATTGTGAGGCCGTCCAGCCACGTGGAACTGTGTGTCCATGAAACCTCTTTTTCTTTATAAATTAACCAGTCTTTGGTATGCAGTGTGAAAATGAACTGATAGAGAAGATAACCATATTCAGCAGTGTGAAAACAAACTGATAGAGAAGATAACCATATTCAGCTACACAGTGTTAGTGGATTAACCATTAGTAGGTCATGGAAACAGGAGTTGAGGATATGATGGAGTGTGGGATAGAGAAACAGGTGTTTTGCTTGGAGATGGTCCTGCCCCCCATTCCCACTACGCTACCCACCACATTTAGAGAGCATAAGTCTTAGGTATGAAGTAGTATATTTTTGATACCAGAAGCAGCATAAAAGAGGAAACTGGAGCTTTTAACAGCCAGAAGCCATGTTACCCAAGAAATCGGAAAAACATGCTTGATGTTGTGCTCCACCCCACCATCCCCAAAATCATACCCTCTCCTTCCATCCCAGAAGCAGCAAAAAGTGTGCTTACTCACAGATGATCAGTGATTTCTTTTATGCTGTAGAAATTCACTCACATGGCCTCCTCAAACTAATTTCCTATATCCAAATAAAAAGAAAAAAATCAAGAATCAACATAAAAGTATTAAATAAGGAAAATCAACTCAACCAGTAAAACTTGGTGAAATATTTAAGTACATAATAGATTAATAAATATATTAATAGATGCATAAAATACTTCAATAGATTCAAGAGGGTATTATATTTATTCTATAATCTTTAGTAAAAAGTATCAGTATTTATAAATATAAATATAATTAGTGAAATTGAAAAGGACAAAAATAAACAAGCAAAAAACCTTCAACAAATGACCAAAATAGCCATATCAACTCCTTATAAATTGGTTAAGAAATATAAATTATGTGAAATGAGTAATAAAACAAGTAATTAAATAATAAAGCTAAATAAAGTGTCATGTGCGATGAATGTGACAGAGATTAAAACCATGTAAAAAACTTTAAGAGATAAGGAGTAGCTCCTCTTGGGACATGATCTTGGAGCCTGTAGCCACAATGTAAGCCCAGCTACACAGAGGCTGTGATGTGTAAAGAATGTGTGAAGAGATCACGTGGAGAGAGACAAAGATAGACAGAGCTGGGGAGAGAGGGCAGGAGACAGAGAGAGAGGGACAGACCAGTAGAGAGCTCAAGCTCAAGGAAGCCCAGAGTTCCAGCCTCTAGATGCGTGATGTGCCCCAGTCCAGACACCAGACATGGGAGTGAAGAAGCCTGAAAGACAGCCCTAGCCACCATCTCACTACAAAAGCATAAGAGACCCCAAGTGAGAACCACCTGGCTGAGCCCCACTGATCTGCAGATTCTAAGCAAGATATACAATGGTCATCGTTTGAAGCCCCTGCATATGGATTGCTTGTCACAGAGCTGAAGACAGCCAGAGCAGACTTGCATACCTGGGAGTGGAGTGCTAATTCACAAAGCCCAAGACTTGTGAGTGAGATGGTGGCTCTGCAAGCAGGTAGCCTTCAAGGTTGGAAGAATACTGGTGGTGACAGGGGGATAAGGGCTGGGAGGAAAGTGAGGGAAATGTTGGAAGGTGAAGGAGACAAAAGGGCACCCTGTTAGTTAGTGGCAGAAACTCTACCAATATGGCCCCACACAGTGACATAGGAAAGAGTAAATGTAATAAATAATCTGGGGAAATCTGGGAGACTTGTCAAAAGTGACAATTGGTGTATTTTGGCTATGTATGATTAAATGAGGATAAAGAGAGGAGTTGAAAAGAAAAGGCCACTTAATTTTCACGCAAAATTTATAGGAAAGACAAATAAGCCTCCAGGTCTCAGAAGTTTGAAAGTAAAGCTCAGGGCCAGGCGCAGTGACTCAAACCTGTAATCCCAGCACTTTGGGAGGCCAAGGCAGGCAGATCACTTGAGGTCAGGTGTTCAGGACCAGCCTGGTCAACATGGTAAAACCCTGTCTCTACTAAAAATACAAAAATTAGCCAGGCATGGTGGCACAGGCCTGTAGTCCCAGCTACTTGGGAGGCTGAGGCAGGAGAATCGCTTGAATCCAGGAGGCAGAGAGTGTAGTGAGCTGAGATCACACCACTGCACCCAGTCTGGGTGACAGAGTGAGACTCCATCCCAAAATAAAAATAGAGAAAATAAAGCTCTGTTATTCTTAGCATGTCCAGATGGCAAACAATGCTAAAATGAAGAAAGAACCTAAAATCCAGTGTCAGAGATGACCTGTTAAGACCTCAGGAAGATCTAAGGTGGGCCTCATAGATCCTTTCAGAGAGACAGAAGAGCTTCTGAGACTTGAAAGTCCGGGCCTCTCAGATTCTGCTAGAAATAGGGCTTCTCAGAAGCTTAAGATCACAGTCTTACTGGGAGCCTCAAGTAGAGACAGGCTTATCTCAGAGATGTGTGGTTGCAGCCTTTGCGTAGTGGAAGGCACCCTCATCTCACAGGAGATCCCCAAAGTTCTTAAGAGAATTATTCTATGGAAACATGACCCACTTGGGCTAAAAGGAACAAAGATAGACACAATAAAATGATAACTATGGACCCCTGAACTGCCAGGAGTGGTGTGGTGGGCAGAATTTGAAGACGGCTGCCAAATCTCTGGGGGAAACACACCAACCTCCAGTTGTTTCATCCAATGTTAATCTAGGGACCACTGTGAAGGGATTATGTGAATGTAATTAAGGTCCTGACTCATCTGACCTTGAGATGGGTAGATGATCAGGTGAGCCTGATTTGATCACACGAGTCTCTTAAAAGCAGGAGCTTCTCTCCAGCTGACGGCAGAAGAGGAAGTTGGAGGGATGCGCTCTGGTGAGCCTGGCAGAACGCCCATATCTGTGCTGCAAACTTCCCTCCAGGACCACTTGACAAGGAACCGTGGGCATCATTCAAGGAGCTGAGAGCTAATGGAAGAACAGACGCTTCAGCCCCACACCCGCGCAGAGATGAATTCTGCCAGCAACACTGCACTTGGAAGAGGACCCTGATCCCCCATGAGAACCTGGCCCTGGCCCCATGAGTCCCTGTGCAGAGAACCTGTCAGCCTGGGCCTGGACTCAGGACCCAAGGAGACTGTGAGATAATAAATAGGTGTTGTTCTAAGCCACTAATTTGTTGTAATTTGTTCCAAAGCAGAAATTGGAATGAGGACACTATTCGGCTCCAGAAACGTGTCACTCCCTATGGAAGAAGAAGGGTTACTCCGAGCCCAGAGGGTGAAGCCAGAATGGGCCCTAGTCTGTGGACTGTGAGTGTCTGATGCATCTCCACGTGATATGGACCAGGAACTGCTGTGCCCACTCCCCCATTTCTCCCTTTTTCAGCTTGAGAGTTTATTGGGGCCATCTTATTTCTGCCCTGCAGTTGTAAGTTAAGTGAGTGAGGGACAGAGACACTGCCTCTTCTGTGGTTTTCGTTTCTCTCCAGATGGAGAGAAACTAGATCTGAGGAACCTCAAGCCAGAAACCTCACCTGTATCGCAAACTGATTCAGGCAATAATGAGGCTTTGGGGGAATTTGGCAGGGGTGGATACCATTTTCATGCGGGAGGAACGTACATGATTTGTGGCCAGATGTCTGACTCTGGTGACTTAAAATCCTGTCTGGAAATTCTCTAACATCCCACCCAATATGAGGTGGTCTCTGTCTCCTCCCTCAGCTCTAGAGGTTGGGGGGCCTCCTAACTGCTCCCAGATAGAAGAAATGGTGCTGTGTTTGAGGAGGCCACATCCCTGCCAGCTTCCCTTGTCACCCTCTTTCTCCTTTAGCCATGCAAGAAGCATCCCCAGTCTGAGTTCACCAAATGGAGAGGTTACCTGGGGTCCCTGGAGAGAGAGAGAGTAAGGAGGCCCCTCTACCTCAGCAGCCCTGAGCCTTCTTAATCCAGGATGAGAATGGGGGGTTAGGGTGACATTGAGAAGACCCTGACCCCCGCCACCGTCTTATGCAACAGCGAATGCAGAATGAAAACAGCCTCGCTGAGCCTTGCTAGGCCTCACACTCAAGAGCAAAATCAGTGATCTCTATTTTTTAAATGAAAAATCAAAGTCGAGGAGTGACAATTAGACAATTGAACTGTCACCTAAGAGGATTTCCAGCATATCGAAGACATGGAAGGGGAGGATCCCATTGAACAGGAGAAAGACCTACTGCTTAAACTGAAATGACATTCAAAGTGTAAGCCAAAAAAAAAAATTCAGGGGGACATGTTGAGCTATATTTCGGTGAGAATTCTGGTCTCTAAGGATAAAAGAAAACATCCTTTGCTCCCTGGCTCCATCAGGAACAAGGAGGCAGACAGGCTGTGCCATTCCTTCTTCACTGGCACCTGTTCCCATGCCACACCTCCGTCCTGAGCAGGTTTTGTTTACTGGGGGACATCATCAATTATTTTGGATAGGATATCATTGCAGAAATCTCCTTTCAGTCTTTGCATCTTCATTCATGCTTTAAAAACAAGACAGGCTCAATCACTGGTAGAAAAATAGAGCAATAAGAAAATGAAAATTGGATAAAATTAATTTCCCTTATTGGAGGCACCTGGGCATGGCCACCAGGTTTTCCCCAGAAACGCTGGGAGAGGGTCTCTGCCCAGACCCCAGGCGAAGAGCAGAGCCAAACCTTCTCTGCATTGCATTTGCCTCCTTATCTCTCAGCTCTTTCCCTGTGGCTAAGCCTAGAGCCCCTCTGACTTCTCCCCCATTTGTGGGGCCTCAGGGGCTGGGCTTTCCTCTCCCTTTACTCCATTTCCTAACTTTCTATCCTGTGTTATAGTAAAACTATGATAGGCGTAAGCAGATTTTATCTTAAAATCCTATTGGAGCCAAGAAATTTAGAATACCTCTCTCTCTCTCTCGTCTCTCTCTCTCTGTGTGTGTGTGGTGTGTGTATACCAGTGCTTGTTTTTTGTTTTTTTGTTTTTTTTTTTTTGAGACGGAGTGCTCTTGTCATCCAGGCTGGAGTGCAGTGGCACAATCTCAGCTCGCTGCCACCTCCGCCTCCTGGGTTCAAGCAATTCTTCTGCCTCAGCCTCCCAAGTAGCTGGGATTACAGGTTCCCACCACCACACCCAGCTAATTTTTTGTATTTTTAGTAGAGATGGGGTTTCACCATGTTGGCCAGGCTGGTCTCAAACTCCTGACCTCAGGTGATCCACCCACCTCAGCCTCCCAAAGTGCTGGGATTACAGGCATGAGCCACTGCGTCCAGCCTGATTTTTGAACCTTTACTCACTAAAGTGGTGGAAATAGATTGTTGCAATCCACAGAGAAGAATGCCTAACTGAAAGTGTTTAATAAAATAATCAAAACATTTGCTATTTCTTATAACAGAAAATGTGGATGAACCCATGGCTTTTAGTTCCGACGCAGACGCTGGCCTAATCCTTTTAAGAGATGATTTCCTGCTTCAAAGACCCCTCTTTGTTGCAAGGTAGCCACACAGATTTAGTCATGGTGTCCCCATCCAGCTACATTCAAAGGGAGTTTTGTTTTTTTTCTGTAGAGAATAAGAGACACCTTCCCAGACCACCTGGGACCCTTACAAGGACCTGGGACAGGTGTCCTGTGCTAGCTGCAAGGAGCCAGCTCTTCCAGGAGAGGCCTCGGTGGACGAGAATAGCTATGAGTTGGCCAGCAACAGTGTCATTCAGAGATAGAGAAACTCTCAGGATTGCTCACCGTCTCCTTCCCTGGAGTGCCAGCCAGCATGGTTCAGCCGCAGAAGAGAGAAATCAAAATACGTGGATTCAAAAATTTTAAATCACTATCCCTGTGAGTTCTGCAATGCATAGTGTGCTACCCTGGGACCTGCTGGCCTGTGAGGGTATGACCAGCAGCCTGCATCCACCTAGGGGAACTTAGGGGAGCAACCTCCAGATCTGCACAGTTGGGAGAGCAGGCAAATGACAAACCATGAAGCAAAGACGCACACTTTGGGAGGAGTGGATGCTGGAAGAGGACTTCAGACACTGGCTCCTCAGAGCCATGCTGAAACAGGTATCCAGGAAGCCGTCTCCTTTTAGGTCACTTTGCACCCCATGGAAGACCATAGCATTTTTCAAAAAATAAAATAAAAAAATTAGGCCGGGCACGGTGGCTCATGCCTGTAATCCCAGCACTTTGGGAGGCCAAGGTGGGCGGATCACTTGAGGCCAGGAGTTCGACACCAGCCTGGCCAACATGACAAAACCTGTCTCTACTAAAAATACAAAAAAAATAGCCAGGCCTGGTGGCAGGCACCTGTATTCCCAGCTACTGGGAGGCTGAGGCAAGAGAATTGCTTGAAACTGGGAGGCAGAGGTTGCAGTGAGCCAAGATTGCACCACTGCACTCTAGCCTGGGCAACAGAGCGAGACTCTGTCTCAAAAAATAAGAAAATAAAATCAATAGAGCCTAGAACAATCATGTTTATATGGACATTTTGAGAACGATAGTCTTTGTGAAGTTGTCTCAAAACTAACAGTCCCTCCATGTATGTAAGAAATTAAAACAAATGACCACAAAATTCTGTACAACCTCGAAGCTTTGATGAATTGGAGGCAGTTAGGAAATGCCCCAAAGTAGAAAACATACAAATATTTGTGTTTTTCCTGAACACATGAGTAATATAAAGGAATTCTCTTCACTTAAAAAGCAGTGGTCGTGCCTCGTCTGGTCTTCTTTTCTGGGAACTGCCCGCCATGCACACGGGTCTTTCCCATCTTCAGTTTGTGGCCTGTAACTCAAGGGAGTTGGTCTGTTTTCTGTCTGCTAAGTGAATTTGGTAATCACGAAGCCACAGCGGTTGTTTAATGAAATGTAGGTGAAAGAGCTTTGTACATTTGACAGTAATTACAAAAATATAAGTGCCTGTCACCAACCAAACTGCACTCAGCGTGCAATCGGAGCTCTGTGTGCCGAATCCCGTCTGGCTTTGTCCTGCTCTCAGCAATTTTTTAAAATTACGATCCCTCCTTGTAGCTGACTTGATACTTAGGTTTGATTCTCCTTCTTTCTTTTCCTACTAAATCCGCCATTCATGAAGCCCTTCCCACTGGGCTTCATAGCTGCCCTCTACCCCAGCCTACCTGGAGCTCTGTACGAGGTGCTGGGAATGGATCCAGATAACTCTGGTTCCAAAAGGATCTTTGCTTGTCTTGTCACAGCAGGGTCCAGGCCTCAGGATTTGGACTTCTGGCTCTCTGTTCCTCTCTTCAACTGCCAAAAAAACTACGTGTTCCCAGACAGAAGGCTAACCATGCACTTCTGTCACCCATTGACACTGCGCATGATAAACAGTCACCATGGCATTGTTAAGGACACAGTGGAATAAGATGCTGGATGAGCTCCCCACCAAAGCAGGTGAATCTCTACTGCCTCCCAACTTGCAGCATGGATGGCTCACACAGGCCTGCTCACTTCTGTTTCCACTGCTGTAAAATGGATGAGCTGAATAAAATATTTCACAAAATCTCTAATACAACACTGACATGGCAAACAAAAATATAATTTCACTAGTTCCTGAGGGACCATAAGAGACCACATTTCAAGTTGCAAGAAATAAACATATTAGAAACACAGAAATGCACAAAATAAAACTGCTGGAATCTTTGGCTTTTTTATTTTTATTTATTTTTTTTAGGCAGAGTCTCACTCTGTCACCCATGCTGGAGTGCAGTGGCACAATATCGGCTCACTGCAACCTCTGTCTTCCCAGTTGAAGCAATTCTCTCCCTCAGCCTCCTGAGTAGCTGGGATTACAGGCCCCCACCACCACACCCAGCTAATTATTTTGTACTTCTAGCAGAGATAGGGTTTCACTATCTTGGCCAGGCTGGTCTTGAATTCCTGACCTCAGGTGATCCACTGGCCTCCGCCTCCCAAAGTGCTGGGCTTACAGACATGAGCCACCGCACCTGGCTGAATCTTTGACTTTTATAAGCAACTGCATTCATTTACTAGGATTATCATTAAAAAAAAAAAAAAAAAAAAAAACACACACTGAGTAGTAGCTTAAACAACAGAAATGTATTTCCTCCCATTCCTGGAGGCTGGAAGTATGAGATCAAGGTGTGGGCAGGGCCAGTTTCTGCTGAGGCCTCTCTCCTTAGCTTGTAGGTGGCCTTCCTCTCCGTGTCCTCACATAGTCTTCCTCTATGTGTGTGCGTGTGTGTGTGTGTGCGTGTGTGTGTGTGTGTGCAAGTATGTGTGTGTGTCTGTTCTAATCACTTCTTTTTATAAGGACACCAATTATTCTGGATTAGGGCCCACCCTAACAGCCTCATTTTAACTTAATTATCTCTTTGAAGACACTGTCTCTAAATACAGCCACATCCTGAGGTCCTAAGAGTTGGGGCTTCAACACACAAATTCTGGAGGGACACAATTCATCCGCCTCACAGTGACAATCTTTTGTTTTAGTGGAGTGTACAGGAAAAACCAAGAGCAACTTATGATTCAGGAAAAATATTTTTTTATCTCTATATAAAAAGTAAAAGCAAGCATTTATCCCTAGCAACAAACTGAGACATTCCAGTGGCCTTGATGCAATCAACTGGGAAAAGCTTTATTAACTCCAGCCCCACAGATCAGAGGGAAAACATAATTCCCTTAAGCCTCAATCCTTAGCAATCATCTGCTTGCTCAGATGAGTCCCTGGTCACACCCTGGAGAGGGGAGAAATGCACCCAGGGTATAGATGGGAAGCACCTGCTGGAGGCTGGCCCTGCCCAGCACTGTCTGGGCACTGGAAATGCAGCAGGCATGAGAGAGAGGTGAAGTCCCCCTGTTCCTGAGACCTATACTCCAGGGTGGGGGCAGGAGCACAAACAAGAAAGGAGTAAATAAGTAACTTAACAACATAGTCCCAGGGAACATCAATGGGATGGATGTAACAAAGTGACTGGGGGGGTCATAGGAGGAATCAGGAAAGGACTCAGTGACAGAGTGTCCAGGCAGAGGGAGGAGGAGGGACAGGCTCCAGATCTTAGGAGCATGGAGTGCTCTCCAATAGGACAGCAAGGAAGATGGAAACCACTCAGGAGCTCAGGGGGTTCTATGGGAAACCACACCATGGAGGGCTTCAAGAAAGGGGACAGTGTGATCTGAAAAAGAATAGCAAGGGAGCAAGAGCTTATGGAGAGGGCAGGGGGAGCTGGGGCAGAGGCCCAGAGAGGTCACAGGGAAGGGGCAGGGAGGGATGGAGGCTGTGCCTGCAGGGTCCACTCTGTACTCCTTACCACCGTCCAGGGTGTAAGAAAGACTTTGTGAGAAGACAACACAGATAAGTATGAAACAGTCATGTCACTATGAACTTATTCATGGCAACATCTGCAATTTTACCCTTGGCACTTCCTAAGAAAAGAGCATGCTCTCGTATCAGAGGCTGAGAGAGAATGAGAAAAATGTTCATTCAGGCCCATGCATTCATTGTGTTGGCCTACACAGATATTTTAATTTAAATTTGTTTCCAAAATTTACAAAAAAATTTAATGCCATCCCCAAATCTGCATCTCATGTTTCCCTTAAGGAATTGTAAGACTGCACAAGGCTGAGCATCAGGTGGGCCCTGCAGAGTGCGTCCCTATTTTCCAGGCTGCTGTAGGCATCACTGGGCTCCACGCAGGCTGCGGACCACCCTGAGCAGCCAGGCGGGCCTCCAGGCTGCATCCCTGCTCCACAGGATGCCCTCAGTCGTTCTGAGCATTCATGTGGCCCTGCAGCCTCTCCCAGTCTTTGGAAGGTCCTCTCAGTCACAGGGAGCAGTGCATGGTTCCTAGAGAGTACAACCTTGGCCTCCAGGCTGCTACGGGCCCTTCTCACCAGCACCTGCCTCCTGGCCTCCTTTGCTCTTTCAGCTGCCATTGACCTTACCCAGCAGCAGGTCTTTGCTACCCACACCTGCTTGTGGCCTCCCACAGTGCCTTCCAAGCTGCTCCTGCCCTGCCGGCCATGTCCTGTTCCCCTTGCTGTGCAGGCTATGCTGAGCATGGGCATCTCCTGCCCACAGCACTCACTCTCTCCAGGCTCCTACTTTTTCTGCCAAGTCCCACAAGCCTTACACAAGGTGCACAGCTGCTTTGCAGGCGCTGCAAGCCACGCTCAGTAGTGTGTGGCTCATGTAGATGAGGTTCGTGTTCTTGGACTGCTGCATTCCCTGCTGAGCAGCATGCATGTCCTGCAAGCATTATCCTTGTTCTCCCCATCACTGGACCAGTCAGGTCTTTGGGTTCCATCAGTGAGGCCAATTTTCAACGCCACTTCCAATGTTAGAGTTATGTGACGTCCTACATTGTTCTATTTCTCTGTCCCTTTTAACCATTTATTATACATACTTCATGTACATATTTTCATGAAGCTAATATAAAATTTAAAACAGTGGCCGGGAGCAGTGGCTCACTCCTGCAACCCCAGCACTTTGGGAGGCTGAGGCAGGTGGATCACTTGAGGTCAGGAGTTTGAGACCAGCCTGGCCAATATGGTGAAAGCTTGTCTCTACTAAAAATACAAAAATTAGCTGGGCATGGTGGTGCACACCTGAAAGGAGGCTGAGGCAGGAGAATCGCTTGAACCCAGGAGGCAGAGGTTGCAGTGAGCCAAGATCACGCCACTGCACTCTAGCCTGGGCAACACAGGGAGATTTGTCTCAAAAAAAAAAAATTAAAACAGTAATATTATTTAAGTTGTCCTAATAATTAATACAAATTACTTCAATACACATATGCTAAGGCAGCACATCAGTAATGAAGAAAATTTTCAAAATGGGGAAATGATACACAGTCAAAGGAAGGTTACAACAGAAAGTGCATGCAACTAGGTTAGCACAATGGGTAGAGGGATCATCAGTTTGTCTCAGCATTTTTGGAAAAGAAAACAAAGAGTAAGCAAACAATTGCCTTTTCCATCAAAAGAAGAAGATAGAAAAAGATTGTTCAGCCTAAGCACAGACACAGAAGGAGATATTTCCAATGTGACAAAAGGGGAAGCGTATATGATACACTTCACTTCAAAACACCTTGTCCTTAAACTGACATCCTTAGAAGAATGTAAATGACTCATCAGAGCCCACATGATACTGGCCTTTAATCTGAAAATGTCATCACCATTTACAGACGTTAACAAATGTTCATCTCTCCCTTGAGAAAATAATTCTAAGTTGAAAATGAATCACAGTTTTGGGTTTCAGTAAAGATATTATTGAATACTAACTACTAGTAAGCTCTCTGCTAAATCTTTTACATAGGTTATTTCAAGAGAAGCAGATACTATTGTTGTCCTAAATGAACAGGTATTAGAATCCAATACGTTTTCGAACGGTTCCATAATCCCAACCACAGAAGTATAAAGAAAGAAGCTTCTGTTTTAATTTAATCTGTTAACCATGGTGTCCATCTGCTTCACTACATAATAGATAATCTGTGGTGCTGCATCCAAAATTCAAAATATTGTAAATATTTTCGGTAATATGATTATTATAAGCATTTCTAGTAGAATATATGGAAAAATATAGGTCTATAGGTTATGCTTGGGGGAAATAAATTCCTTCTCTGTCCATTTTGGTCCTTATTGAACTGAAACTGGGGGACAGATGACATTGCAAGGTCATTTTCTGACCTGATCCCTTCCTTGCAATAAGTCAGGTTTGAGCACAACTGTACATGTGATATTGCCCGGAAAGAAGGGACTTCCTAGAATAACACACATCTCAATAAGCCACTGCTTCCTAGAAATGAAGTAGCAGGCATCAAATTCCTCTATGGAGAGGCTCTTTGATTCAGGTGGAACTCCACCCACCACGTCCTGCCACTGCACTATGCTAGATTTCACTGCACTACCAACTAATGTGAATAAACCACCTGTCCACTGTGTCACACTGAAATTGTCTCTGGTTTAGCTCCCAACCTCACCCCTCCACCCGCTGCTGGACTGTGACGGTGAGCTTTCTGAAGACGGCCATGCATCTTTTCTTCTTTGTCTTCCATGCTTGGCTCAGGCCCAGCATGTGAGAGCTACACTATAAATAATCTGTAGAGCTTTACCAAACAAACAAAGAATTATATGCCAGGCCCTAAGCTAGCTCATTACATAACATCCCCTCACTTTATTTCTCTCCAAGCATTCGGAAGAGGGCATTGTTAGCCTCCGGGTACAGATTTTAAACATGAGCACAAGTCACATGTTTTATTGCTAATCAAATCACAAAACACAGATTCCAACTTAGGCCCATCTAAACATAACATTTTGGTTTTCTCTGGAAGAAAAGAAATTAATTTTTACTCAGTGGCCACAGGCTTAATACAAATTTAGCAAATCTCACTATGCTTACGTTTTTTTTCCCCTCATAGTGTTAAAGATGCATGAGCTTCCAGGACCCCAAATATGAGGTGACACTAGTTTCTACCCACCTGCAACCAAGATTCTGTATTCCTGCTGCTTGGGTTTTAAACCAGAATAGTGTGTTCACTGAAATTCTCACTGTGCTTAATCCAACCTCACCTCCAGCAGAGGGAGGGAGACTGCCTCTCTGACTGCCTGTGGCACACTCTGCCCTTCGACACCCACCTCGTGAGTCCTCTGCCTCTTCTGCTCATAGGCTTGCTTCTGAAATGAGTTCCTTTGCCCCTGCAGCTTTCAACAGCAGCCCCTTTCTGCAGCAGGATGAGAACACTGAGATATCCTCATGTTCGGCCCATCCCAGGATTCTGCTGGGGGCACAGCTGCACAGAATTCTATCTACTTTGTCATTTCACTCTGTGAATAAAGGTCAATAAAGTACAAATGCCTTGCCTCAGTGTCCATGGAACAGTTCAACAGCTGCGCCCAGAGACAGCCTGTTCTCAGCAGAGCTTCAAGTGGGGCCCTATCTGCCTTCTTGGAACAAAGTGGCCCTGAGTTTTGATTCAGGAATCAGAGTAGTATTTAAATGCACATGTGTAGGTTTATATTAACACATAAGTGCATAGAGCTTGAAAATGGTAGTCCATTTATTTGAGCATTATGTTATTCTTCAGTGATTTTCTAACACTGACAAACACTTTTATTTGACATATTTAAAAGAGAATGTCCTTTATTTCCAGAGAAGAATGGGTGAATGTGGCTGGAAGATAGAAGAGGCACCTGCTGGAGTTTAAAGCATTTGCCATCCCGAGTTTACTACGTGACACTCCGTTTTTCTTTGGACGTTTTAAGGTTGCACTTGCAAAAAGTAATGGCAGGATACATCCATGTAATCAGTGCCAAAGGACACCCAGGAACTGGAGAAACTGCCGCGTCTTTGTTCTATTTTCTTTTTTCCACGCATTGACAAAATTTTAAAACTCATATTAAATAATGTGGACCTTGACTGTACAGTGACTGCATAAATATCAAAGCTAAACCACCAACATCCCAGCTCCTAACACCAAGAAAATTGTGCATCTCCATTTTGACCAATGTGTGCTTACAAGGAAAAAATGTTCTCACTGAAGTCAGAATATACTAGAGAAGATATTGGGGGTATTCAAGAATGTGACCAAATAGTCGCTATAGCTTAAGTATTATCCTCTGTGTAGTAACAAAGTCAAAACCAGGTGTCTAGGTGCATGTGTGTGTGCAGAGAGGAGAGACAGAGATTACACACTGGAACACACATCTGCACCCTTCTATTTCCCTCAGAGCAATGTGATGGCATGTTCATCTGAACAAATTAATATTTCTACTATAATTGATTTGTTTGGTGGAAACACCAAGTTCACCTGCTAGTGGTGACTAAAAAGATGGAAAGACTTGAAGGAAGAGCAAAGGGTGAGATTGCATGTGCGGCATCTAAGGGGCATCTACACTGGAGCCAGCAGACCTGGCTCAGAACCCAAACTTTCATTCATTGCTCAAATCACGCACCTATCTAAAAGAAAAAGGATAAGAGTCAGCATTTTGCTCATTCACAGGCTCATTCACATGCTGGCACGCAGTAAGCACACCAGAAATGGTAGCTATTATTTTGTAAAGAGGGTAAGTTATGTGGAAAAGCTATGTGAAAAATAAGGCATCGTATAAGCAAATAGCAGGGTGTGACCAACATCAAAGCAGGAGGTGAGAAGGAAAAGACTTCCCAGGAAGATGCAAGTGCCACTCCATCTGAGTGTCGGGGACAAATCAAGAAATGTAAAGATGTTCCGTTATGCATCATATTTTGGCCCCCTTCTGTTGCCATCCCAGGTCACTTTTGATTAAACTTGGTTCAGATTTTCTTGCAAAAGTATCTAAGGTCTTCAAGCATTGCTTGGCTCAGCATCCATACTTGGGCTAGTTAGTGTCCAGGTACTTGAGACCTTCTGCTAACCAGCTTCTCCACACCACTTTGGCAAGATTGAGGCTTTGTGGGCCATCTCCCTACATACATTACAAACTACAAATGGAGGTTTTATTTTTTAGTTTCTGCCAATCACACACAAAACATTTAATACATATTCGTGTAAAGGATGATGCAGTGAATGACAAGGGCTTACTACATCACAAACACAAAATTAATTACTTTTTCCTTGAATCACAGTAGCATATATAGAAACTCATAGGCTGGGCGTGGTGGCTCACGCCTGTAATCCCAGCACTTTGAGAGGCCAAGGTGGGCGGATCACCTGGGGTCAGGAGTTTGAGACCAGTATGGCCAACTTGGTGAAACCCCACCTCTACTAAAAATACAAAAATTAGCCGGGCATCCCAGCTACTTGGGAGGCTGAGGCAGGAAAATTGCTTGAACCTGAGAGGGGGAAGTTGCAGTGAGCCAAGATCATGCCATTGCACTCCAGCCTGGGCGACAGAGCAAGACTCCATCACAAAAAAAAAAATAAGAAAGGAAAGAAGGAAGGAAGGAAGGGAGGGAGGGAGGGAGGGAAAGAAAAAGAAAGAAGGAAAGAAGGAAGGAAGAAAGAAGAAAGAAAGAAAGAAAGAAAGAAAGAAAGAAAGAAAGAAAGAAAGAAAGAAAGAAGAAAAGGAAGGAAGGAAGGAAGGAAGGAAGGAAGGAAGGAAGGAAGGAAGGAAGGAAGGAAGAGAAAAGAAAAAAGAAAAGAAAAGAAAAGGAAAGGAAAGGAAAGGAAAGGAAAGAAAGAAACACATGAGCATGTTCGTGTTTTTTGGCACAGTCAGGTTGGTACAAATGACATTTTTTTTTTTTTTTTCTGAGACAGAGTCTCAGTCTGTCACCCAGGCTGTAGTGCAGTGGTGTGATCTCAGTTCACTGCAACCTTCGCCTCCCAGGCTGAAGCAATTCTCCTGCCTCAGCCTCCGGAGTAACTGGGATTACAGGCACCTGCCACCATGCCCAGCTAATTTTTGTATTTTTTAGTAAAGATGGGGTTTCACCATCTTGGCCGGGCTGATCTCAATCTCATGACCTCAGGTGATCTACCCCCCTCAGTCTCCCAAAATGCTAGGATTCCGGGCATGAGCCACCATGCCCAGCCTACAAATGACTTGTTTTTAATGTCTTCATATTTTATGCTAAGAACTTTGCTGATTCCTGAAATCTGAGGAAACAAGACATTAGATTTTAAATTCTATCTGGGCATACAGGAGTACTTAAGTTTTTCAGAGATATGGATGTTTTGTAGTAAAAATCTATTCACTCCCTCTACTTAGTTAGACCCTCAATCATCACTGCTTAACCAAAACTGCAACCACACATGTGGTTTCTTGTGGGTCTTTTGCATGTTTCTTGGAGTGAGCAAGAGTTCAGCCATGATGTTCCTGTGTTTAATCAGAACTATATGCATTCTCTGCATCATCTCAACTATCTTCCTTTTACGCCATTCTTGCCGTAGTGACCAGTTCCAACTTGTACTTGGGCACAGCTTCTCCACAGCTGATCCTATTCATAAATGATTATTCTAGCAGTCTGAAGACCTGGGCTCATTCCCAGCTCTACTCCCCATGGGCAATGTGAACAAAGATGGCAGCCACTGCCCCACTAGGCCTCACCTGCCACTGCAGGGTCCGAGACAGAAGGAATCAGCACTTATGGACCGTCTCAGTACACTCATTGTACATTCATTGTACATAAGTTCATCTCTCTGCACATAATAAGATTGTGGACATGATTTACTGGCCTATGCTCAGCATCAAAGAATGGCCCAGGTGTGGCATGAAATAGACCTGCATCTCTCCAACCTGGCTACTTTTCTCCGGCCATGGCTGACATCTCCCTAGGTCCCTGGAGGAAACAAGGGACAATGAAGTCATTGGCATATGAACATTATGTCCTCATTATTTCTCCTATGTCTTGACTCTCTAAGCCACATGCTCTTCTTTTTTTTTTCCTTTAAGCACATGTTAATAACATTATGCCATGATTTACTAATACAGTCTTCATGGAATTGACACTGAAAAATGTTTTGGAAAAACTAGAAAGCTAATTTTAGAATGATAAAGGAACTACTTGTCCATTTAAGATGCATCCTTTCATTGAGTTGCCTTTATGAACAAACTTAGACTCATAAAGTAGAAAAAGATCTTAAAACATTGGAGCATGACAACCTAGGGTTAAAAATTTGATTCCAGCAATATTCCTAACTTGCTTAAATGAAGGTTACCTGAGGCAAAGCCTGGAGAAAACACAGTTAGGTATCACTATGAGCCTTCATTATCTACTCGGGCCACATTTTTAGTCCCCTCCTCCCACCTGTATGGCACAGAATACCACATGGCACTATCTCTTAAAAGATATGATCTGGAAGGAGGTTATTTCATTCTAGAAGCAATGGGAACCATTCTGTGTCTCTCAGACAGATAGCAAACTTACATGCACAGCATTCTATACATACAAGAACACATCAAAAGGAACACATCAAAAGGATCACATCTGGTTTGCCCTTTAATTGTCACCATATCCTAATGTAAGAAGACCCAGAGGAATATAAACACATTCAACACAAGCTGGTTCTATCACAGATTATTAAAAGTTAGAAATCTCTTTGATGTTATATGCATATAGACAGATATAGCTTGGTGTCAAGTCACTATCACATCTCCTTTTTAAATTCTCTGCATGACAATTACTATATGTTAATAGTCTGTATGAGTGTGTGTGTGTGTGTGTGTGTTAGTATGTTTATTATTAATCTCTTTAACAAGTCTGTATTTCATGAGAATACAGATCAACTGAGAAACAAGTTGATCGTCAAGTTCATTTGAGGTATAAATGATTATGGGATCTAAGGAGGAATTTCATGCTCTGATCTATACCTCCCAGTTATATCTGCAGACCCAGATTGATGCAGCACCCAGGGCAGTCCCTGGTGTAGAGCAAGCGTTTCATAAACAAAGGCCTGCTGATGTAGCCAGTAGGTTACCAGAGTTTGCAAACCCTTCCTTGGGCTTCATAATAATTTATGTCTCAAATTAACTTGAGGGTTGACTTGTTGCTTTATCCCAGAAAATTCACATTAGTTTTTTGCTCAGTTTTTCTGGAAGGAAGTCAAATTTGAAACTTCAAAGACGGAGCTCCCTTGACCCTGTCGAGACAGAGAGAGAAAAATCATTCAAGCATTGGTGTGCCACATGACAGCATTGTTCAAAGCAGAGAGATAAAAATTCGGCTGAGGAATTTTATCTACACTTGCTATAAATGGGCTTATAAATGTAGAGAAAACTGTAGCGCAGGAGCACTCAGCTATGATAAGAAGTAAAGAGGGGCAGGAAAGAGGGCATATTCACTTCAATTTTTAGGCATCAAAATGAGTCCTAATATCTAGGGCTATCTGGAGGCCAAGTCTAAATTCTGTGTTTCCTTCAGTTGAGCTAATTTCCTCACCACTAATTAAAATAGTTGTCTGACAGCTTCCATGTTGCCCATAAAACTCCCAATTTTCTGTGTTTGTTGTTCAGCCATGCCTCAGCTAACCTCCATTTACAAAACACTGAGGCAAGCTTCCAAGGAACGCAGGACAAAATGCCCACTACCTTTTCCTCTGTTATCACTAGGATACTGTAATAGTCAAGCCCTAGCACAGCAGTGGAGTGAGATTTGAAGCTAGAGATAACATTAACACCTTTTTTTTTGTTTCTTTTGATCTTAAGAAAGAAAAACAAAAACAAAAACAAACAAACAAAAAAACAGGATTTTAATGGAGGGGGAGAGTAATGGGCCTGATTCTTCTCATCTATTCCTAATTCTCTTTGCTATTATCTTTGATGGTAAAGGCAGTTCCTTTCTCAGCATCATTTCTGACATCTTACTCCATACCTAGTGAGGCCAAAACCTGGTGCATGCAGATTAAGATTGGGAGAAGGGCCACATGCAGGGCTGGAATCCAGGCCCTTTTAGTCAAATGCCACATTATTTTCCAAATTGTTGCATCTTACCAGAAGTTCCTGTGATCCATGTTGGCACTGCTGCCCATATTAACTTTTGCCAATCAAGTCAGCATAAAACTTTATCTCATGGTGTTTGATTCACATATCTGTGATCACTAGGAAGTAGACCAACTTTTCATTTTTATATTGGCCATTCATGTTTTCGTCCTCAGTGAAGTGTTATTTGTGGTTTTTGTCCACTTTTTTGAGTGGTTTGTCTTTTGCTCTTTATTTTTACAGACAGATGATTGATAGATAGATAGATGATAGATAGATAGATGCTGATCACATTGTAGTATATGTAATATGTGTTACAAATATTTTCTCCACATTTTTAGCTTTTTTTTTTTTTTTTTTTACTTTTTCTAAGACAGTCTGTGATAACCAGATGTTTGTAATCTCAACATAGTGGGCTCATCAATCACGTCTTTTGTGATTTAGCGCTTTTTGTGTCTTGCTTATGAAATCCTTCTTAACCCTAAGGTCAGAATGATTTTCATCTACAGTGCTTCTACCAATTTTAAAGCTTTGCTTCTGACATTTAAATTCCTAATCCATCTGGACTTAATTTTTCTACAGTGAGAGGTAGAAACTGATTTAATTAATTCCATGTAGAAAGACATTTTCTTAGCTGCATACATTATGTAGCTCTTCCTTTAGACAATGAACTGCCATAGCATATCATCATTTATCAACATTTCAAATGGTTTTCAGTCTCTTTCTATATTCTACACTATTTCGATATAGTCTCTTTCTATATTCTTCACTATTTCTGTTATAAAAATAAAATAATTGCTAGAGTAACATAACTTGATCAACCTCAGTAGTGTCTGCTTTTGTTTCTTTATAACTGAGAGTTCTTTAAAGATAGGAGCCTGTGGTTCACCAGGTAGCACCTCCCCTGATTGACTCCGCATCTCACTTCACTGCTCTCAGTTTTCCCCTGCAAAACAGTTGCATTGTACTCAGTAACTTACAAGTTTTCTTCTTAGCTCAATTGTCTCTTATTACAAATGAATTCAATCTAATAATCCTGTAATTGAAAGCCAAATTAGACTTATTAACTCAGAACTTCCATTCCCAGGATTTGCCAGGTGGTTGGGTGTTAATGGTTACTATTATTGTATGTTATTTACTGGATGTGTAACATTCACAACTTAAATTTTTTTATAAAAATGATTCACTATTCATAATATATACTCTGACCACATTTAAAAGGTTTGGAGACTCTGCATACATTTACTAGAATTTAAAACACAAAAAAGGTAACATACACCAAAATTCATATTGATATAGCTACCATATGGTAACAAACTGACAATGCCCATAATAATCATTACATTCAGTTTGACTATTCTAGAAGCAAAGACAAAACATTATGGACTCTCCAACTTAATTGTTTGATAAAATTTAGCTGGCAAACTTCTGAGCAAAGATCAAAGATGTAGTGATAAATTGCTGAAGTGAGGGTTGTCATGAAAAAAAAATAAAGCTTACAAAATCTAAAAACATACTCTTATTAATACAACACGCTTTCAATTAAACACCAAAGTATTATCATTTTACAGATGAAACAACTGAGGATAAGAGAGACCAATTACAATTACTTAAAATTATTCACCTTCCAAGTGCCCGAGCAAGGTCTCAAACATAGATTCACTGAGATCTTAAAATTTCAATCTCTTTCCACTATGCTTATAATAAATTCAAAGTTCAGTTTAATATTAGGACCTTATCCCAGGACATTGGCCAGCCTGTGAGCAATGCCGGTGATAGCATTTATTCAAAAATGTAGTGACTTTTCCTTGTATTAACTTTATGTAAAACACTCATAGAAACGATGCAAGTACGTTGCTTATGTTAGGGGAATGAGGGAGACTGAGCAAATGAAACTCAAAGTTCATAAAAATGTGCCCCAGAGAAGATGGAAGAATAGATGGTTGACCTGTTCCTGCCTTTATCTCTCTCAAATATCAGTCTCCTCAACCAGGTCTCTGATAGGAATTGGAAAGCAACCCATCCAAAATTGGTCTTCCTTGGCAAGCTGAAGTAATAAACACCATTAAATAAATTTATTGTGCGCTGTTGCAACATGCTGTAACCTGCATGTGTGATAACAGAAGTGCTGTGTGGTCCAGTAATTTTGGTTAATGTTTTCATCAGAAAAGGGCAGGTACCTTCCAGTTTCGTCTCATGAGTTACTGTTAATAAGTTTTAACTTCAGTAAACATTAAGCTTTGAATTGTAAAAAAATCTCCACTAAATACCGTGATTATAGTCGGTCTTTACCTAACACCCTGTAGAAGACCCGCTGCTGAGGCTCATTAAGGTCCAAATGAAGCCAGAGTGACCCTACCGTCTTCTTCATCTTCCTCATCAATGAGGTACTAAAACCCTCTTCCAGCCCTGGACTTTGTTTCCATGGGTGAATTTCCTGGACACGTCGAACTGTTTTAACCTCAGGTGTTTACTGGCAATTTTATGTTGCACATCTTCCCAATTCTTTTAGGCTTTTTAATTTATGTGACCTTGTGTAAATGCTCACTGGTGGCACAACATTCCTATAAATCAAAATTATCCACAAGCTGTACAAAAAAAAAATTTCCCTCTTAAAAATTAGAAATAAAAATGCTAAGAAAGATTTAGAAATGGCCTTGGATCTAAATTTGGAGTGGACTTTCTTTTCAAAATGTGCCTTGATTTAGAATTTTTATATTTTCAGTCTGTCAGTGAGTAATTTACACACGTCCCTTTGTTCTAGGCATTTTAGCAGGTTTTATAGGAATCGTAGGAATAATAACTGGGCTCTTGGCTGAATCCTTTCATTTTTTAAAAAATTTCTTTCCTTTTCCTGGAATATTCTTTCCTTCTCTTGCCCGCTGAAATCAGGAGCTTTGGCTACCTCTATTTTTACCCTCTTTTAGAAATCTTCTCCAATTCTTCAGACAGAAATGGGGATCTTATAAGTTTTTAAGACAGCTGTGGTCTTATAGTAGCAATCTGGACTTTTCATTTATTCAACAAAAATCACCAGTATGAAAAAATTACATATTGCTTGCCTGCCATGTACCAGGCACTGCTCTAAGCCTAAGGGGAGATTAGTAAGAAGACAGAGCAACTCCTCAATCTGATGGAAGCTACATTGGAGTTCCAACAAACAAACAATAAACACATCTATAACATCACACCTTATACCTACAAGAAGTAAAGCAGGGGTAGGCTGTATACTCAGAAAGATCAGGGATGAGGCCTCATAAAGTAAAGTTTTTTGTTTGTTTGTTTCTTTGTTTGTTTGTTTTTGGGACAGAATTTCACTCTTGTTGCCCAGGCTGGAGTGCAATGGCATGATCTCAGCTCACTGCAACTTCCGCCTCCCAGGTTCAAGCAATTCTCCTGCCTCAGCCTCCCTAGCAGCCGGGATTACTGGCACCAGCCACTATACCTCACTAATATTTTGTATTTCTAGTAGAGACCTGGGTTTCACCATGTTGGCCTGGCTGGTCTCGAACTCCTGATCTCAGATGATATATCCACCTCTGCCTCCCAAAGTGCTGGGATTACAGGTGTGAGCCACCATGCCTGGCCAAAGTGAAGTTTAAACAGACACTTCTGTCACCCTCTAGGAAAGATTGTCCCAGGAAGAGGAAAGAACAAATTCAGAGTGTCTAAGGTGAACTGTACATAGCCTGTTTCAAGGAACAGCAGCAAGAGGCCAGCAGGGCTGGAGCTTAAGGAGTGAAGGGAAATGTGGAAGGAGCCTGTCTGGGGAGTGAATCTGAGGTCAGTCACGCAGGATCCTGTAGAACACGGTCAGCACTTTGGATTCTCTCCTAAACCGTCAGATGGTGTCAAGCAGGGGAGTGACATGATCTAACTTACATGGTAAAAGCATCCATATGGCCACTTCGTGGCTACAGCATTTAGCATTGTAGCCCCTCCTTCATCTTTACTTACTCTCTCATATTATTTCTGTACAATTTTTTCTCTCTGTTTGTAATACAAAACAATGGTGTTATGTGAAGTAGAAATCTATAGGAATTTTTGTTTTGTTTGTTTTGTTTTGTTTTGTTTTGTTTTGTTTTGTTTTGTTTTTGCAGATGGACTCTCTCTATATTGCCCAGGCTGGTCTCAAACTCTTGGCTCAAGTGATCCTCCCACCTCAGCTTCTCAAGTAGCTGGGATTACAGACAAGCACTACCAGATGAATTAGAAATCTAAAAACATAAGCAGAAACACTCTAAGAGGCAGAGAGGAGTTAGAAGAGTTTTTTTTGTTTTGTTTTGTTTTGTTTTCTTTTGTTTTGTTTTGTTTTGTTTGGCAGTAAGCGACATAAAGATTATAATTCAAAAGGTCCAGGGTAATGGCCCAAAGGAATTCACAGATTCTTCATTAAAAACCCTGAATGCCAGTGGTGATGAGGCCTTTGGAAATGCAACTCCATTTGTACTAAGCGTAATCCCTAATTGGATTAAAATAATCATTTACCACCTGACCAGTGAAGGGAAGAGTAAATCTTCTTTAGAGGAATACATTATCTGAAGACTTTCCAATTTTAAATTATACAATAAGTTGCATTCAAAAAAATACTATTTAGTCTGAAAGATAGGATTACATAAGCTATAGTTGAGGACAAAAATAGATAATACAAACAGACCCATGGACCAACCAGATGTGGAAGTTAGCTGGCCAAAATATTAAAATACTTGTGCTTAATGTGCTCAAAAAAATGATAAACAAAATTAGCCAAAAAAAATGGAAAATTAATCAAATGAGAATTGTAATCTTTAAAAATAACCAAATAACTTTAGGGAAAAAAAAACAAGAAGACATGATATCTGAAATAAGAACTTATAAGATAGATTTAACAGCAGATGAACAAAACAGAAATAGGGTTACATATGAGTGAAAAACAATCAGAAACTATCCAATATCCAGTAGAAAATATCTAATCTAAAGCATAGAGAAAAAAAGTGTAAATACGAAGGAGAATGTTAAAGAAATATGAAACTTAATGAAAAAATGTAACCTAGTGTGGGAGGCAGCCTTTAAAATGGGTCTCAATTATCTATACCTCCTGCTACACACACACCCTTTTGTGATCACATCCCTTTGATGCGGGCTGCACCTAGTTATAATTTCTAATAAGTAGAATACTTGAAAAGAAATGATATTTTTTAAGATAAAGCAATTGAGGCACAAAGAATTTATGTAACTTACCACAGGTCATCCATATAACAATGGGAGAGCCAAAATTTAAGCCAGGTTTGGTTTAAGAGTCCATTTTCATAGCACCTCTCCTAAGATGTTTTTCATGATTAGAAACAGTCATAAACTGGATGTGGAAGAGAGCTTTATTGACTTGATACAAAGTCTTCAGTTAGACTTACAGCACACATCAAAACTGAGTGTGACATTCCAGAAGAATAACCATTTAATCACAACTATCACAGCTAATTTTTTGATGGTGCTCAGTTGCTAGCAATTGCAGTAAAGCAATACATAAAAGCAAAGAACACCTGATTTTATTATGAGATGATATGGATATTTATCTAGAAGTTCAAGGGAATTTCTAGGTGATGGCATTGAAAATAGCAGAGTAAGAAACTGAAAAAAAATGACTCTTAAAAAGTAACAAAAATACTGGCAAAAGTGTCAGTCAAATTTTAGTAACTTTGGAAACTAACTAAAACTTCAGAAACCAGAGGAACCCTTATTTAAGAAACATGGATCTTATTTCAGTAAAAACATTGAGCTTTGTGATAATTTAACTTCTCCTACTCTCAGCCTCCACTCCCCAGCTTAGCAGTAGCTTTGAAAATTACAGTCTGCATTCACAGCACCAGTACTAGAGAGGGCAGAATTAATTTCAGTCACAAATGATTGTAATTGTTGGCCAATCATGTGGCTCAGGTTTGTAATCCTAGCACTCTGGAGAACTAGGTGGGAGGATCTCTCGTGTCTGGGAAGTCAAGACTGCAATGAGCTATGTTTGTGTCTCGGCACTCTAGCCTGGGTGACCAGAGTGAAACCACGTCTCAAAATAAAATAAGATAAAATAAATTATAATTGTCTGGTAGCTTCCTGGAAAACTAGCACAAAAGGCTCAACTTGATCTTGCCTAACTCAGAGCTCACCCAGTGCTGTAACTGTTACTTAAGGAATATTTTTTCAAAATTTTACCAAAAAAAAAACTTATGTTTTGGTTGTTTTTCCTAAGGCAATGGATAAAAATTGAGAAAAAAAACAATATTTTAAAAATTTGGAAGTAAGGGTTGGGGAATAAAATGGTTTGAAAAATAAGAGCTTTGAAAAGCTCTATATATTTTATATACATATATATAAATCTAGAAGGCCACATACATGCCTAGAGCTGTGCACTTGCCCAGGAGAGACCTGAGAAGACTCTAATCTGTCATCTCTGCTGACCTTTGGGCTGTAAAAGCAGGAAGTTAAGCCTAAAGCATGGTTGTAGTCTTCTTGAGTACGGGCTGAGGGCATGCCCACTGTACACATAAAGCCCCTCTGCAAAGAATATGATAAGTTTTTGGTTTAGTTTTTGTTTTGGCATCAAAATAACTTTTGCTCAATAATTAGTTGACCACTAAGCTACTGTAACAGAGACTTTAGTGGTCACACACAACAAAGACACAGTCTATACAAAATTACTTCAGAGAAGTCATGAAACAAACAAGCAGAAAAATAATAATTATAATAAGCAGCAACAACAAATTCTTATGAAAAAAAACAAGGAACCTGATTGTCAGAATTTCCTCCTTATATTATACAAAATATGCTGGTTTTTAACAAAATATTACAAGACATGCAAGGAAATAAGAAACATAAACAGAAAAACATCTATTAATATACATTGCCCCTCAAAGGACATGAATAACCACTTTTCAAAAAAAGATATACAAGCAGCCAACAAATGTGAAAAAATGCTCAACATTACCAATCATGAGAGAGATGAAAATCAAAACCACAATGAAATACCATCTGACACCAATCAGAATGGCTATTATTAAAAAGTCAAAAAATGGCCAGGAATGGTGGCTCACACCTGTAATCCCAGCACTTTGGGAGGCCAAGGCAGGCGGATCATGAGGTCAGGAGATCGAGACCATCCTGGCTAACACAGTGAAACCCCGTCTCTACTAAAAATACAAAAAAATTAGCCAAGCATGGTGGCGGGCACCTGTAGTCCCAGCTACTCGTGAGGCTGAGGCAGGAGAATGGCGTGAACCCGGGAGGCGGAGCTTGCAGTGAGCTGAGATTGCGCCACTGCACTCCAGCCTGGGTGACAGAGTAAGACTATCAAAAAAAAAAAAAAAGGTCAAAAAATAACAGATATTGACAAGGTTTGGGAAAAAAGAGAGTGCTTATTAGTTGAAAAGATAATGCTACACTGCTGGTGGGAATGCAAATTAGTTCAGCCCCTGTAGAGTTTTCAAAAATCTCTGAGGAGATTTCTCAAAGAACTAAAAATGAATTACCATTCACTATCAATTCCATTACCGGGTATATATCTGAAGGAAAATAAATTGTTCTACCAAAAAGACACCTGCACTTGTATGTTCATCACAGCACTGTTCGCAATAGCAAAAACACACAATCAACCCAGGTGCCCATCAACGGTGGACTGGATAAAGAAAGTGTACATATATATCATGGAATACTAGGCAGACATAAAAATAATGAAATCATGTCCTTTGTAGCAAGGTGGATGCAGCTGGAAGCCATTATCCTAAGCAAATTAACACAGAAACAGAAAACCAAATAATACATGTTCTCACTTATAAATGGGAACTAAACTTTGAGTACACAAGGACACAATGATGAGAACAAAAAACACTGGAGATTCCAAAAGTAGGGAGGGAAGGGGGAAGGTGGCAAGGATTGAAAAATTACCCATCAGGTACTATGTTCACTACTTGGGTGATAGGATCACTAAAAGCCCAAGCCTCAGTGTCATGCAATTTACCCATCACAAACCTGCACATGTACCTCCTCAGTCTAGAAAAAAATTAATAGAAATTGTCTCTGAGGAAGACCAGAGAGTGAATTTACTAGACAAAGACTTAAAGTCAGCTAATTTAAATATGTTCAATGTACTAAAAAGAAAATATGTCTGAAAACATGTCTAAAAACCTACACTATAAAATCCTTTCTCACCAAAAAGGAGTTATATCAATAAGGAGATATAAATATTACAGAAATTTCTATATTTTACAAATAGAAAGAGATAGCAATTATAAAAAGGACCAGACTACAGATCTTAAGAATAACTGAAAAGGAAAATTCACTAGAGGGGTTCAACAGCAGATAAGAGAAGACAAAAAGAACCAGTAAATTTGGAGATAGGGCAAAGAAAATTTTCTAGTCTGGAGAACAGAAAAAAAAATTGAACAGAGCCTAAAGGACTTGTAGAAAACCACTAAGCATACCAACATATGCATAATGGAAGTTCCAGAATCAAAGAAAAGAATAAAAGGTGCAACAAGAATACTTAAAAAAAATTGTCAAAAAAAATTCCTAAATTTGATGAAATGCACTAATCTACACATCCAAGGAGCTTAAAAACTATAGGTAGTACCAAATGAAGAAGATCCACACATCATAAACTGACAAAAACCAAAGACAGAAATGACACAGCACATACAAGGGATTCTCCCAAAATTAACAGCTGATTTCTCATTTGAAAACTATGAAGACCAGAAGATAATAGGATGACATATTCAAAGTGCTGTGGGGAAAAAAAAAAAACTGTCAGGTAAGCTTGTTATATTCAGAAAAAAAAAACTATCCTTCAAAAATTAAAGAGAAATAAAGACATTTCCAGAATAATAAAATACAATAAAGTTCATTGCTAGCAGAACTGTATGAAAAGAAACACTAATGGGAGAGAGAAAGAAATGGCACACAGTGGGAGGCATGAGTCTGTGGACATTTTTGGAATGTTTTGGTTCTGTTTTGTTTTAAAACTGGGCAATACTGTGTTCAGTTCAAGCAGAGAAGAAAAATATATATCAATGCTTTTCAATAAAATACAGTGACTACCTGTAAAAAAAAAAAAAAGGAAAAAGAAACATTAAAGGACATTCTTTAGGATGAAATGAAAGGATAGCAGACATTAACTTAAAGTCACACAAAGAAGTGATAAACACTGGCAAAGATCACTATGAAAAATCAAACTATGTCCTATTTAAAACAAACTCATTTTAGACACAATAGGTTAAAAGTACAATGATAGAAAAAGATATTTCATACAATTACCAAAAGAGGTAACATAGACATTAGACATAATTTTCCAGAGTGACAAAGAAAAATATTTTATAATGGAAAAAACTGATTCATCAAGAAGATATAATGATTATAAACATATATAAACCAAATAGCAATACGCTACTATGCATGAAGCAAAACTAATGGAATTGAAGGGAGAAATAGTCATATAGTAATAGTTGGAGACTTCAATACACAACTCTCAATAATAGATAAAACAACCGGACAGAAGATCAATAAGAAGATAGAGCATTTAACAACACTATCAATCAACTGAACCTAACAGACATCTATGGAACACTCCACCAAGCAAAATCACATATGCATGCACATGGAACATTCTCTGGGATAGACTATATGTTACACCACAACACAAGTCTCACTAAATTTTAAAAGATTGAAATCACACAAAGCATCTTTTCTGACCAGAATAAAATGAAATTGGAAATCAATAACAGAAGGCAATATGGGATATTTTAAAATATTTGAAAATAAGATAATCCACCCCTAAATAATCAATGAACCAAAGAAGAAATCACAAGAAACTCATGGGATACAGTGAAGGCAGTACACAAAGGAAAATTTACATCTGTAAATGCCTACATTAAAAAGGTAAGATCTCAAATCACTAACCTAACCATTCACCTTAAAAAAGTAGAAAAAGAGCAGTAAACTAAGCCCAAAGGGAAAAAAAATCAATAAAATAATAAAGATGAGAGCAGAAATGAGCAAACTAAGTTGTTTGAAATCAATAAAGAAAATCAGTAAAAACAAAAGCTAGTTATCTGAAAAAAATCTACGAAATTGACAAAGCTTTAACTAGACTGATGAAAAATGAGAGACAGAAGAATCAAATTACTAAACCAGAAATGGAAATGGAGATTTTATTATAGACCTTATAAAAATAAAAGAGATTATAGGAGAATTCTATGAACAACTGAATGCCAAAAAATTCAATAACTTACATGAAATAAACAAATTTTTTAAACCATGCAAGTTACCAAAACAGACTGAAGAAGAAACAGAAAATCTGTTATTACAGCAGGTTGTTCGATTAGCAATAAAAAGAAAAAAAAAGAAAAGAAACGAAGAAAAAAAAAACAATCCAACAAAATAACAAAATAAATCTTAGGACCAGGTGGCTTCACTAGTGAATTCTACCAAATGTGTCAAGGACAAAATTAGCATCAATCCTTATTAAACAATTCCATAAAATAAAAAAGGAGGGATCATTTTTAGCTCACTTCATAAGGGCTTTATTACCCTGACACCAAAGTCAGACAAAGATATTATAAGAAAATCACAGTACAATATTTCCTATGAATATGATGTCTAAATCCTCAACAAAATACTAGCCAGTCGAATCCAGCAGCTTATTAAAAAGACTGTAGACTATGAAATGTATTATGCAGGGCCTTTTAGAGGACTAGAATCAATAGGATGTGGGTATATGTAGAAACAAATATTTATTTTTAAGGAATTTACTCACATAATTGTGAATCTAGCAAGTTCAAAATCTGCCCAATAGGCCCACCAGCTGGAGACTCGAGGTTAACATAACTTTGCAGCTCCAGTCCAAAGACATTCTGGAAGAAAAATTTCTTCTTCCTCATAAAATCTCAACCTTTTTTCTCTTATGGCCTTTACTTTATTAGGTGAGGCCCACACCATTATGGAAGGTAATCTTTACTCAAGTTTCTGATTTAAATATTATCTCAAGTAAAAAATACCTTCACATTAGCATCTATACCAGTGTTTGATCAAACATCTGGATACCATGACCTAGCCAAATCGACACCAAAAATTATTCACCATGATGACTAAGTGGGATTCAGCCTAGGAATGCAAGGATAGTTCAATACACAAAATGATCAGTCATTATAATATGAAATATTAATAGAATGAAGAAAAAGGATACCATCATCTCAACTGAGGCAAAAGTCATTTGACAAAATCTCACACCCCTACATGATAAAAAATACTTTAAAAATAAGAATAGAAAGAATCTTTCTCAACCTAATGAAGGGCATCTACTCAAAAATGTACAGCTAACATTATAATTAAGGGTGAAAGACCAAAAGCTTTCCCTCCTAATATCTGCAACTAGAGAATTTCTCCTCTTGCTCTTTCTATTGAACATTGCATGGAAATAATTCTAACCGGGCAAGAAAAAGAAATAGAAGACATCCAAATTGGAAAGAAAGAAGTAAAACTATCTCATTTTACAGATGATGAATTACTTATAAGAACAACTAACTTATACACAGTAAAAAACTATTAGAGGAAAGAAATGAGTTCAGCATACTTAAGAGAAACAAGAGTGACATGTAAAAGTTGTATTTCTAATCACTAGCAATGAACACTTTAAAAATAAAATTATAAAAATAAAATTATAAAATTAAAATAGCATCAAGATTAAAAAATACTTAAAAATGAATTTTTAAGCAGCTAAAATACTATTACACTGAAGACTATGAAACATTGATGAAAGAAAAAATAAGTAAAACCTAAGTAAATGGAAAGTTATCCATGTTCATAGGTTGAAAGATGGCAATATTCCCCAAGTTTATTTACTATCAAAATTCCAACAATTTATTGATGAAGAAATTGACTAACTCTTCCTAAAATTCACATGGAATTTCAAGGGACCTGAAATAACCAAATGATCTAGAAAAAACAATTTTGAGGACTCAAACCCATAGGTATAAATCTTTGTGACTTTGGGTTAGGAAATGGTTTCTTAAATAAGACAGCAAACATGCAAGCAAGTAAAGAAAAAAAAAGATAAATTGAACTTCATCAAAACTAAAAATTTATACATCAAAAGACACAATTAGGCAAGTGAAAAGGCAACTCACAGAATGGAAAAAAATGTTGGCAAATAAGTATCTTATAAGAGTCTAGTACCCAGAATATAAAAAGAACTGTTACAACTTAACAACAAAAAGACAAACACCTCAATTTTAAAGTGGCAAAGGACTTGAATATAAATGTTTCCAAAGAAGATGTACAAATAGCTGATTAAACTCCTGAAAGGATGCTAATCTTCACTAGCCATTAGTAAGATTCAAATTAAAATCACAACCAGATATTGCCTAACAGCCACAAGAGTGGCTGCAAAAAATATAAAATAATAAATGTTGGCAAGAATGTGATGAAATTGGAACACTCATATGTTTCTGGCGGGAAAGTAAAATGGTACAGTTTCTGTGGACAACAGTTTGGTAGTTCCTCAAAAAGTTAAATACAGAATTATCATATGACAAAGCAGATTCACTTCTAAGAGAATTGAAAACAAATGTTGAAACAAAAACCTGTACATGAACATTTATAGCAACATCATTCCTAGTAGTCAAAAAGTAGAAGGAATCTCCATGTCTGTTAACTGATGAAAGAATAAATAAGATGTAGTGTAGCCATACAATGGCTACATCATAAATGAATGAAGTACTGATACATGCTAAATGAACCATGAAAATGTTTTGCTAAGTAAAAGAACCCAGACACAAAATGGCACATATTATATGATTTCATTTATACGAGATGTTCAGAATAGACAAATCCATAAAAATAGAAAACATATTGGTGGTTTCCATGTACTGGGAGAGAGGGAAATAGGGAGGAATTGCTCAATGGGTATAGGGTTTCTTTTTGGGGTGATGAAAATATTCTAAAATTAGGTAATGGTGGTGATTATACAACATTGTGCATGTGCCAAAAGCACTAAACTGTACATTTCAAAATGGTTAGAATGGTGAAATTCTGTGAATTTTACCTGCATTTAAAAATTAATACATTGGTTGAAATGCATTGACTGGAAGAGCCAATTAACATATAGAGAAGATTTACAAATAAGATGCCTTGACTTAGTGAATATGAAAGTTTATTTATATGCTATATTAAATTTGTTAATTATATAAATGATATTAATTAGACAATATGAAGATGGTATAGAAATAGACAAATGTATCAATGACACACAAATAGACCCATGAAATAATGGGTTCTTGGTGCCCAATAGCAAAGGCATTACAAATCACACAAAGAGGAATTCCTTTATTAAACAGTGCTTGGGACAATCGGCTTTCCATAATGGAAACAATAAATTTGCAGCAATAACACCATACCTCAAAATTAGTTCCAGGTGTGTTACAGAAGACTAAATATCAAGAGAAAACACTTTTAAAGTCTTTGAAGAATATCTTCATAAAGTAAGAGCCAGAATTCTTAAATGAGACCCCAGAAGCAATAATAAGGGAAAAAGTCTCATTAAAAGAGCACAACACGTTATACCATAAATAGTTTAAAACTAAGCTTCAGACTTGTAGACTGAAGCTTAAGCTCTTAAGGGTTTAAAGCTCTAAAAATTTACCCAAGACAGAACAAAAATGAGCAACGTGGAGATTTCAGTCTCGCTAATTTAGCAGAGAAATGCTAATTAAATTATAGGAACTTTAATTTCTTAACTGTGAGATTGAAAATATTAACAAGTGTGACTATTAAGTCAGAATTCTTTCAACTTAATAGAAAATTAAAAGAAAATCGACTTAACAGCTGGAAAGGAAATGTCTTATAGAATTGGAAGTTTCAAGATAGTCCAAGCTTCAACTTCTTGATCTATTGGTTGTGGCTCCATTTTTCTCTGGTTTCCTCATTTGTATGTTGCTTTCATCTTAAGGCTGTCTCTCATACATTAGCTTGAACTACACACTGTATTTTCTTTAAGTCATTCTTCCTACTAACTTATTCATCTCACAACATCACGAGATCATTTCTATTACTGTACTTATTTCGCAGATGAGGGGCCTGATGTACCAAGAGGTTAACCATGCCTAAGGTTACTCAGCACGCAAGAGGCAGTTAGTTGTATTGCAGAACCCACACCCTTAAATGCCGTGGTGCATTGCATTTATAATTGATTAAAACTTAATAGAGCATTTTTCACATGACAAACACTGCCAGGAATCTGGGAGTCAATGCTTACCTAACCACAAGCCCTGCCCTTGTGCAACTTAACAAAATGGGGAGGAGGCCAAAAAGTGAAATCGTAATTAAAATACACTGTGATATGTGCTAAAGTCATAAAACAACAGAAAATATAACAGCTTCCTGGTAGAGAAACTAACTCACTCTTCGGTGACTGGCAATGCTTCCTGAATGAAAGAAACATCTACTTGACCTCCTCACAGTCTCCCTTTCTATAGTGCAAGCTCGACTAGACAGTTTTGACAATAGTGATATTAAGGCTCTGCTTGGTGCCATGCAATCTGCATTTGGGGTGCCAGCTAGCCACAGGACTCATCTGGAAAAAAACAACGGCCCAACCCTGAGAACTTTGGGATTCACGGGAAATTACAGTTCCCCTGATGATGCAGGACCGGTAAGACCCCAAAGTTCTTGACTTCCCCCAGGAAACAATTCAAGGGCTAGTGAGTGGTGTTAAACAGAAACTTTTATTGAAGCGGCAGTGTACAGGAGCAGCAGCGGTACTGCTCTTTACAAAGCAGGGCTACCCGCTAGGCAGGGTGCCCAGAATAGCAGCTCACAGAGAGTACAGCAGTCATATTTATACCCACTTTTAATTACATGCAAATTAAGGGATGATTTATGTAGAAATTTCTAGGGAAAGGGTGGTAACTTCTGGGTGTTGCTGTGGTAATGGTAAAGTGACATGGCACACTCGTGCGCATGTCTTATGGAAAGGTGCTTCTGCCCCAGCCTTGTTTTATCTAGTCCTCAATTTGGTCTCGTGTCCAGGGCCCATCTGGAGTTAACTCCCACGCCCTACCTCGCTATCACAAGAAGGAAAAAAGCTTACTTCCAGGGAAGCTGAGCTTTATTGCAGCCCTCCAAGTAAGACACCCAATCCTGCTCAAACAGCTCCTCCTTCTAGCTGTCTAATTATCGAATCAACTAAATTTAGTCTAATTGAACACTTCTAGGCAATTCTGCTTAATGTTTCACAGTGAATTGTATTTTGTGAGGTTTCACTTCAAACTTTACTTATTCTTGTGTCAAATTTTAATCTACAAAATTAGGAATATAGACTTTAATATGGTAACTCTACTACATCTCTCCAATAGCACTCACAAGAAATTGCTCTTCTGAATAATTCAAGAGGCTCTACTCTGGGGAATGCCCCATGCACTGCCCACTTTGTGGTTTTCCTGCTGTGTATTATTTGCTCAGTGTTTTCCAGGGTCTACTGAAGGAATTTAGTGGCCGCAAATATTCAGACAAGCAATACATATTTATCAGCAAACTAAGAAATAAAAATTCTCAGCAAGAGGAAAAGAGGAAATATTAATAATAACTTCCAGAAAAATACCAGAAACCATCAACCAGAAACAGTGCAATTTTTATATGGATGGAATATAAAATTCCTCAAGGGAAGGGATGGGTGTTATTCATCTTTGGGATGTCAGAAGTTGACCAGGTGCCTGCAGTAAAATAGATTTCTAATAAATTTTGGAGGCATAAATTAAATTAATTGGATAATTTTTTATTTATGCTATGAATTCAGAATTGGAAACATTTGCATAATATTTTAGATAGCATGTCCTAGGAATCACTGTCTACATTAATCCTGTTAACAAATAGCCTGAACAAGATTGCTGAAATATTACACTGGGGCAAGAGAAGGATGTAGTAAAGAGGACACAGATTTAAAACTGGGTAACTGTGTGATATCCTGGGTCCACTCCTTCTTGTTATGTTCAAACCCAGGAGAGGCACGACTGGCAGAGCCATCCAAACCAGGTTCTCCATGTGGACAGTCTGAGTATGGTTATACCTTGTGACCCAAGCCAAAACCAATGCTTAGCCAAAAAAGTGGAGCCAGGGAAATTCTAGGTAAGTTTGAAGGAAAGAAAAAATATTTTGGAGGAACTGTCCAATGATGGGAGCAAATGAACATCATTTTAGTATTAAGTTGAACTGAAAAAGACTACAGCCTTTTTATCAGTATTATTCTGTATCTATTTTGGAATCACAGAGAGTTGTTTGAACACACTTGACTTCAGACAAGTTGTCCCATTTCCTCAGTTTCTACCATGTGCAAAATGGGCTGATTACAGCCATTCTTCTGTAGGTGGTTGGGAAGATTAAATGCAATGAGATGCATATGTAAAAAATGCTTGGCTGACCATAAGTTATTGTAAAATATAATTCATTAGTTAAGGCCTGTAGCATTTCAGACCACTTTCTGCTACTATCAGTGGATATGACTTACTCCTTTGTTAGAGAGATTTTTAGTGTGAGTTTTCTTTCATTCCCAAATCCCATTTTCTGTAACTATGAGATATTTTTGTTTTTACCACTATTTTCAATTATAATGTGGATACCTGTTGTCATCTTTTTATAATGAAATTTTACTGGTCTACTTATGCAGTAAAGTCTATTTGATATTTTCCATTCACAGATCTTGTTCTAAGTTTGGGACATTTTTACACACTGAGGTTTACACTATGCTTTCATAGGGTGTTTGAAGTCATATTAATATTACCTGCAGTCATTTATGATTACTTTTAAAAAGGAAGGCGATTTGGCAGTTAACAAGGGACATTGGTGAAGAAAACTTTCTACACTGCTCAAAGAGGCTGAGTCAGTATCTGTGGCCCTTTTTCACCATAGATGTTTCGGTTTGTTTGAAAAAGTAGTTTGTATTAGCACAGTCCTCAGAAAAAAACTACAGTTTGTGGCAGACACTGCTATTGACTACAATGCTCCCTTCTTTACCAATAGGACCAGGATTTCACTCATCAACTGGCCTAGATTAAGGAGAAAGAAATCTACATTTCTGAACCTGGTAACGTCTGAGCATACTCATGGAAGAAAGAGCTGGCCTATGAGCGTGAGTCATTCAACAAATATTTCTGAGTTTTTACAGTGTGCTAGATACTCTTTACATGCTGAATGAGACAGCAAAACTAAGACTGCTCAGGATAATTGAGAAATTATCGCTTTCTTCCTGTAGGCATCCCCTGCTTTTCACTAACACTTTTTTCTTCTTGTTGGAAGGGTGGATATTATGGCTGGAGCTGCAGCAGCCATCATGCCAACATGAGGGAAAAGCTGATGGAATTGTGGAGACTTTGGCCTTGTGATTCAGCCCTGGATGAGTTGTCTCCACATTACTTATCATATAAGAGAAAAACCAATCTATATCTTTTGTTGAAAGCCATGATTATGTAGGTTTTATATATATATATATATATATATATATATATACAATTTTTTATTTTTAGAGGCTTTCCAGCAAAAAAAAAAAAAAAAACAGAAAGACCACTAAGCAAATTCTAAAAGAGCTGTAACACTAATGTAGGTATTATTTTTAATAAGCAGAACAAAAAATTCTGAAACTGATTTCTGTTTCTTTCACATACTTTTAGGAGCCTTTTATTTACATTGAATAAACATTGTGCCCTCCCTGCCTTATAATAATAACTGAGATGCAGGAAATTTGAAAAAGCCCATGTCTTTGAAAAGCAGGATAAAATATACATTAAGGAATAACAAAACAGAGATTTAGAAAAGAATTCCAGAGTATTTTATAATATACTTGTTGTATAAGTGAGTGCATTGAGACTCATAGGGATTGGATAACTTCAAATCAAACTGCCTCTTGGCAGCAGAACATAATGTAATTCAGTTTTGGTGACACCTACTTCAGTGCTATTTTCAAAAATCCACACAAACAACCTGAATTACAAAGAAAACGGCAAAAAGGAATTCAACTTATAAGTCTATGCCCTTTAGAATAAGTTTCGAGCATGCTATTTCTAAATAGTTATTTTGCTATTATTATGTGTTTCATTGTGCAAACAATTTGGAAAACACTGTAATAGATTTAACAGGTTTGCTTCCTTAAGACTCTTCAGAGCCCCCAATTTATGAAAGTACACAATAAATCTTGAAAAGAGAAATAGTGTACAGAATTTCTCAACTTATTTAGATTGTGGAACCTGTTTTACTTGGAGCATTTTAAGGAACTGGTGTTCTGAAGAATATACTCTAAAAAACATAAGAAGTTATTAATTAACTCAAACTGTTTGTGAAATAATTTAATATTTATATATGGCAAATAATACTAGAAGGTATCATTCCATGAATACTCTAAAAATTATAACAAAGTTCTTTATGATATTCAAGAAAACTTAAGTACTAAAAAAATTTTTTTAATCTAAATATTCTGGCCTGGTGCAATAGCTCACACCTGTAATCCCAGCAATTTGGGAGGCCGAGGTGGGTGGATCACTTGAGGCCAGACGTTCTAGACTGGCCTGGCTAACATGGTGAAATCCTGACTTTACCAAAAACACTTATATTTGTACCTAAATATATATATATATTTGTACTTAAATATATATATATTTTAAGTACAAAACCTACTTGAACAAAAAGGTTATGAAAATTTGAAATTTTCAAAAGAGAAAATGTGACTATTTCATTTTATACATGCTATATTACTATTTACTATTTCATAACATGGCCAAATACTTAGAAATGTTTAACTCACAATGTAATATAAAATACATCAATTTATATTACATTATATTAATGTTAAAATTTGAAAAGCCAGATAGATTTTAAAAACTCAAATTTTTACTAATTAATAATTTTGTTTCAGGACAAGGCAAAAAAAGCACAGAAGCATATTTTTACTGTGATGATTTTTATTTAACGCTCTACAACATTTTGTTATTTACTATGCAGTAGCCAATATATGATGATGTTAGTTCTCTATTTCTCAATGTGACATTAGAAGAATGTGTCTTATTTTAAGAACACTTAGCATGGTGGCAAAGTATTTTATGACTTCGCCACCATCATGTTGAATTTAGGTTTATTAAATGTCAGAAAAGCACAAGCCTTTTAAAAAAAAAAAAAGTGTGTTGAGTGTTTAGGTTTAAGGACTTCTTGTCCTGGGGCCCATAGACTCACTAACATGTCTCCATAAGATTCAAGAGTCTCCTGAAAGTGTATTTAAGGTTTTCTGGGATATGACATGGTTCTGGGAAGCTTTCATCATTGCCTAAAAAGGTAGAGACCAAGCAAGGGTTAGAAACCATTTACATGATTTACACAAGCAAAGATATAAATTCTGGCCTGGCACGTTGGCTCACGCCTGTAATTCCAGCACTTGGGAGGCCTAGATGGGTGGATCGCTTGAGGCCAGGAGTTCAAAACCAGCCTGGGCAACACGGTGCAACCCATCTCTACTAAAAATACAAAAATTACGCAGGCTTGGTGGTGTGCACCTGTAGTCCCAGCTACTCGGGAGGCTGAGGCACAAGAATCACTGGAACCCAGGAGGCGGAGGTTGCAGTGAGCCGAGATTGCACCGCTGTGCTCCAGCCTGGGCAACAGAGCAAGATTCTGTCTAAAAACAAAAAAAGTAAATTCAAAATACATAAGTGAACTTTCCTTTTGGTAGAAATGCCCTGCTCCCAAGAGAACATACCACATAACAATAAGAAAAAATATAGATATGTATATGTGTAGATGTGTATACAAACACAAGTTGCATAACAGAAATAACTTCCTTGATATGGCCTAGCACTGATATTGAGGCCAACACACTAATACACTAATACAAATTTTTGTTTCTGCAGTCTTCACCAAAACGTTTTCTTTTAGACATTGGTGTCTAACATCTTTTAGATATTGTAAGCTTTTCCCAAGATTTTGTACAAAAGAAAGAGACATTTAAACGTTAATTTGCAAAGTGAATGCTCAGCTGGCAATAAGACTTGGTCTTCAAGATAGTGACCTCTTGCGCATTAAAGAAAGAGTTATATCATGTCTAATATTCGTTAAAATCAAAAGTCATATTTTTTCAGTGTTCTGCAACAACCAAATTCAACAGGGTGTCTTTCACTTGTTACTGAAACTAAAAATTCAAATAACTAATGAACTCCTTTCTTTCAATAAAATTCTAATTCTTTATAGTAGAGATTCTAATGCCAAATAGTAAAGATTGTCTACAAACTCATAGGAAGTTTTTTAATTGGAGTTTGCTCAACAGCTGGTGGGGTTCTCCACTTATTGTCTTTATGCTAAAACTCAGATATTGGATCTACAAGATGAACTTAATCCAAGCATGGTAATTATTTGAGGCAGCTTGGCTGTTGTCCCAAGTCATGGTCCTACGTGACAATATGTATATGGCCACTGGCCATCAAAAACAGGCCAGGTAGGAGAAAAATCGGGCACAGGTCATGTCTCCTCTAGAACAAAGAGATTCCAAAATACCCTGATGAAGCCTTCACAGTGTTCCCAGTCTGTTCAATTTTGATTTTCACTTAGTAAATCACATACAGATTAACTCTCAGATTAAACTTGACTAATTTCAGTCTCCACTGATATTACAATGTCAGGAGCAGATTCAGAAAATATTGTCTGTGCAAATTTCTATTTGGGAGATTTTCTAAGGAGCTCAATTGAGAAAGCAAATTAAGTTGTAAGTAAAACATGTTAGAATAGGTCTGTACGTAAAATATGTATTTTTAATTACCAACTGCATGATTCTTTTTTTTTTTGCCCCATCTTTCAACTTTGTTTATTTTTATTTATTTATTTATTTATTTATTTTACTTTAAGTTCCAGGATACAGGTGCAGAACGTGCAGGTTTGTTACATAGGTATACATGTTCCATGGTGGTTTGCTGCACCCATCAACCCATCATCTAGGTTTTAAGCCCCGCATGCATTAGGTGGTATTTGTCCTAATGCTCTCTCCCTCCCCTTGCCCCCCGCCCCCCGACAGGCCCTGGTGTGTGATGTTCCCCTCCCTGTGTCCATGTGTTCTCATTGTTCAACTCCCACTTATGAGTGAGAACATGCGGTGTTTGGTTTTCTATTCCTTTGTTAGGTTGCTGAGGATGATGGTTTCCAGCTTCATCCATGTCCCTGCAAAGGACATGATTTCATTCATTTTTATGGCTGCAACTGCATGATTCTTTAACCCAGTGGATCTTCTTACACCTAAACAACTCTAGAGAATACTAAGATAACTTTCCAGAATAATGAAAAGGCTCCATCCCCGCCTTGCCTAATCCTGGCCACCTGGGGCTATTGAGCACTGGAATGGGGTTAGAGTAACTGAGAAACTGGACTTTAGTTTGATTTACTTTAAATTAACTCAATTTAAATAGGCACATGTGGTCAGTGATTACTGTATTGAACATCTTGGCTCTAAAGAATCAGTTGTAAAAGTACAACATTGTATTTAGTCCAGTCATTTACTTATTAAGATCACCCTGATTTATTAAGTGCAATAACATGGAAATGGGGTTAGGGGCTGAGGTCTTTTTCCCTTCTCTGCATCCTCTAGTGGTGTCTGGAAATAGATTGACCTGAGCTCCATTCTCTGGTTTCCTGCATAGTGTAGAGCCTGGGTTAAATCTACTTTTCAACAGACAGCAGGTTTTAACATGAAAACCATTTCACAGATACTTTATTCTGTGGAAAACAGTTAAATTGTCATTTGGAAGTCATCCTCAAAAAGCAGCAAGCTAATATAAAGACACCTGGTAGAATAAACAAGACAAACATCTCAGCTAGCCCAGCACACCGAGAAAGGGGTGGGAGGTGTGTGCCCAGTGTCAGGGACGAGCTCACGGTCTCCAGTGCTTGGCTGACCAGCTCAAGACCACCAGTCACAGCCTGGTGGGAAATGAGGGGCCTATGATCCCAGTCTGATCCAGGCAGTTCACACCAAATGTGTGGAAATACTGAATGCAAATTTGGAATATCAATGGCAAATAAACTTTGATGTGGCCAGAAGCTATCAAGTATAGTACTCAAGTTATTTTAGTTCAGAAATTCTAACATGTGAAATGAAGAGAAAATTTATGTTCATCGTAGGTACCATGACAGGGTGTCAAACTACCAAGACCAAACTTTGCAGCCATTATATGTGGATCTTCATCAGCTGGACTCAATGGCAAATGATACACATCCAAAAACTGTTTCTGTCTTCCTCCTACTTTTAAAATCCTTTATTTTCTCTTCCATTAACAGACTCATGTTTTCCTTAACTCTGAGATAACAAGATAAGTTTTCAAAGCTCAGTTTATTCTAAAGTACCCATGAAGAAAAGGATGCTGTTGTTTCTTTTTTTCTTTTCTTTCTTTTTTCTTTATTTTCCTTTTCTTTCCTTTTCTTTCTTCCTTTCTTCCTTTTTCTCTTTTTCTTTCTCTCTTTTCTTCCTTCCTTCCTTTCTTTTTTATATATTTCTTTATTTCTTTCTTTTCTTCACAAGGAATTACAGCTGAGGAGATTTGAGCTATATTGACTTAGATAAAAACAGCTAACAGTTATTTTAAGAGTTACCTCAATCCTTTTACTCCTTCAACAATTTTAAGATTTTTGTTCATCTCTGAGTTTTATTCTGAAAATAACACTTATTTTTAAAATATTTTATATTTTTATTTAAATTATATCTTTTATTTAAATTTTATACATGTATGTGAAAATAACTGCAACTGCACATGAATAGATAAACACTCAGAAATCCATCGGCACACCCTTAATGAGTAGCTCATATGCTTCAGTTTAAGATATTCAGTTGCAGAGACAAGAATGAAAGAATCACATTACTATTATTGCTTTTAATTCTATATATATGGAAAATCACGGTACTTTTCCATCGGAAACATATTTTGCTTTAAATCGTCAAGGTTATTCAAGGCAAATTTTAAAATATATGCGTATATATATTAGCCTTAGTCTAAAGACCTAAAAAATATGAAACAGTTTTATAATAAAAAGTGAGTATTTTCAACATTTAAAACACTTGACATATCACTTCAGTCTTTTTAGTGGCATGTTTGCTGCATAAATAAACATTCATTTAATTATATTCAGGCCCTGTAATTATACTCAAAATTATTAAATAGATCATTAGATAGTTTTAGGATTTGACTTTGAAAGCAGCATCCAAAACTTGGAGATCAGAAAATGGTAGCTGGCCATAACTTTGCTATTTCCTGTTTGATTGGAACTCAGACACTGTAAAGCTAGTCAATTTGTAGATTTCTGCCTAGAACAGAATATAATTTCTTTTTTTGAGTCAGGGTCTCACTCTGTTGCCAAGGCTGGAGTGTAGTGGCACAATCTTGGTTCACTGTAGCCTTGACCTCCTGGGCTCAAGTGGTCCTGCTACCTCAGCCTCCCAAGCAGCTGGGTCTACAGGCATGCACCACCACACCGAGCTAATTCTTATATTTTTGTAGAGACGGGGTTTCACAATGCTGCCCAGGCTGGTCTCGAACTCCTGGTCTCAAAGAATGTAATTTAACATTAAAGGTTTTTCTATCTTGTGGGAAATCAATAAGTTTGTATCTAACCTATCAATCTTACTCTAATTTTTTCCAAAGTGATAAATATTCAGTTCTTGAAAATGCTCATTAAATCTTTTTTTTTCAATTAGTGACTCTCTTATTTATTATTTGAATGGAATCTTGACACCTTTCACTCTTCTCACTCTAAAACTTTTTTAACTTTTGAAAACTATACTTTTATACTTTGATGCAATGTTTGATCATACTGTAACATAGAAATCATATGTTGACCAAATGGAAATAAGGGACTGAACTGTTATCAAACTAAAGACAGTGTTCTTGAATATAGACCATTATGTGATCTCTCCCTTCCCCCAGATACTTAGTAGGTACCATGATTTTCTGTATTGTTCCTATAAAAATGCCATTAATGCTTTCCTGAGTTATGAGTTTAAAAGTCTGTGTTTTCTTATGACTAAAAGCTTAATGTGTTTCAAGAATTTAGTTAGCTGTTGATAGTACTTACAAGCAGTAAAATTGATAGGGTTTGCATAATATTTTTATTAAGTTATAAGCCCATTGCTGCACTGTCAAAAATAGTTCTAACTAGAGGTTACTTCTGCTTAACAAAGTTAATCCACCTTCCAAGTACAGTTCAAGTATAAGCTCCTCAAGTATAAGCTCCTCAAGTATAAGCACAGTGCACTATTTGCTGTCTGAAAACAGTCAAAGCAGTGGAGCTCAAAGAGCCAACAGTTAGAATTCTCATTCCAAGCCAGAATCCTGTCTCTGCCACTAAATGTGTTAGACCACACACTAGATCCATCATCTGCAAAGTGAGAACAATTTGTGAAACTTGTCATCAAGGTCACGGTGTGATGTGATGGAAAGAAAATGAAGTTCTGGAGTTAGACCTAAGTTGCAATCCTGGCATTTCCATATAATGACTGTTTCCTGCTTATAAAATAGAAACAAATACCATCAACTTTTATGTTATGAAAATTTAATTAGATGACTCAATTAAAGCATCATTTTCAAATAAGTGTATTTATTAACCTACAAATGTAGCTTCAAGCCAGATTCACAGGTAGCAAAATGAATTAGCACACATACTTTTACTATTAAACATAAATTGAATCTTTAACATTACTTTGGTGGATAACTACTTACAAAGCTATTTTAAAGTTTTTCATATGTGATACAAGTTTTCTAAATTTTAGTGAGAGAGGCTTTTAAAATAGTACATTAAGGGACAATTATTATTGTTTCTTAATCAAAATTATCTGATGCACATGATTGCATTCATTTGGCAAGATTTAGAAGCATTTATTGTTTTACCTTTAGTGTAACAAGATCACATGATGAAATATGAACATTCAGGTTAATTATATAGGTTTTTGTCCACATGGCATGATCCATCCAGACATTTGAAACATCTGGAAAAAGATGTGAATTATCATTTATCCAGATGCATGTCATCTCTAGGAGAAAGCCTGTGAAAGCACAACTGAGAGGGTTGCATTGTAGTATACATTAATCTTTTGATATAGTGGTGTAACAGTGCAGTGGAAAGCATCATTTTTAGTGGCTAGTACCTAGTAGGTTTTCACTGGATATTCATGGATCTGCTCACAAAACATCTTCCAGGCTCTCTGACCATGGTCACACAAACCAGAGTAAATCCAAAATCACAGGAAACAGATAGAATCCTGAGAATCCTACCTCACAAACTTTACGTAGAAAGATTGGAATAGTGGAAACTGACATAGAGCTGACTACACTCACCAATCCCATGACTCCATGTCCAACTTGCCTCACCCAGCGCCCAAGTCCAGTGTCTGTTCCTATTACCCCACTGAGAATGGAATCCCTGAGGCTGCAAATAACCCTACGGTCTCCCCCAAGATACATCCCGTGAGCAGTTATCCAACCACATCGCAGTGCATCTCTCTTTTGCAGCTCTTGTTCTGACATCTCCTTCCTTGTTGAAACTCTTAACTGTAACTCTTGATTCTACGAGTTACTGTCTTTCTTCCTCTGTCATTCAAATGCTCCTGCCCCTTGGCCCATTGCTTCTCCTGTTCTTTACACTTTCCTAGACAATTTCATTAATCAACTCTGTCCCACCTCCTTTCTATATGAATGATAAATCCCTAATGCACATCTTTCTCATGGACCTCCCTCCTGACCTTGGGAAGCCTATGAACAAATTGCTCTGAATAACTGCAAGTAAGTGCTCTGAAGTTCCCCAAAATTCAATGTGTTAAAAGGGAAACTTTTCATTTAATCTTTAACGTGAACTTTCTCAGACATTCTTTATTTCGGTTGTTACAACCAATAGTTCCTTCATCTCCAAAGCTAGAAACCTGGTCACCAAAGGTTCAAATGAGGGGAATTTATTAAAGGATTAAAGGATCTACTTGGTAGAGGTATGGGCAAGGTTAAGATAAGATGAAACTTTCAGAGACTTGCAAAAGTAGAAAGCTGTTTTACCAAGCCTAGGGATGAAGAGAAGAAACGGGTGTCAGTGGATCTGCGTTCCTTATGGGTTAGTGTCCATTCTGGGACCAAAAAGAATTGGGAAATCAAAATAGAGTTGACTTCACTCATCAGTCCAATGAGAACTGGGCCTGGAAAGGACACTTCCCACAGGGAACACAGATGAAAGACTTTCACAACATGTCAGTGAATTTTCTGAACAAACGTACACTGCACAATTTCAAACAACAGGTGTCTTTCTCTGGAATTTGATCTAATATTAGGAATGAATTGTTCCATTCTGATAAGAATTCCTGTCATCAATCATGCTTTCTGGATGACATGTCTCTCATCTCTTCACAGTTTTGCATACCGAGTCCGAAAAAGTCAGTCAGTGAAAACACATTATTTCTTCCGGAGACACTCAGAGGGGGTCACTGCTTGCTAACCCTGTAAATCCTTGAAGGGGAACATAGTTCTGAGACTTTTCACGTCATCTGAACTAAGTCTTTAGGACCCCAATGTAATCGGACTCCCCACTTTCTTCAGGCTGTTCCCAAAGGAGGGATATGAGGAAACTCCTCTTCACGGTTAGTGCTGGCCTTGTTTGTTTTTGTAGTGTCAGAAAATATGTTCTTAAAATGGGCCCTGTTAAAGTTTGGCAATATATTGTTCTGACTAGAGTCACCAAAACAAATGTTTTTGTCAAAAACTTTTAATTTATCTTGTGTGAAGGAAGAAATGTCATTGAATTTCCTCCTAAAACCTAAACAGATTTTGGAAATTGAAGCTTTAATATGCTGAAGGTGGTATTTCAGTGGCAACACCCTTGACCTTGATACATGTTTGTCTTGGATGTTGAGAGAGGAAACTCTAGGTTGTTAAGCCCACATAAATCTCTGGATTCTTCTCAAAGGTCCATTAAGAACACAATAAAATATCTTCATGAATGATCCTCCATTTGGAAACAAATGCATTTGGATGAGGGACCATCTCTCGAAGCTAAGGTAGGTACGCGCGTCAGAATATATGTGTGCAGAGTGTGTATTCCTCACAAGGTCTCAGGAAACTAAACACACAAAAGGCAGAAAGTATGTTCTGTTTTCAGTTCCCTTGGAAACTAGCACAAGGGTGGGCACCTATTAGTTGCTTGATAAATGTTACCTTTTGAAAAAAAAAGGTCCTCACAAAATCTGGCAGCTACATTATTAGTTTTAATCTACAAGCCTTCTAATTTCAAATTCGGCATCATTTGTCCCTGTTTTTCATAACTTTAGTCCCCCTTGTCTTTCATGCATAGTAACAAAGATTGAAGCATTCTCAGTATTATGTGCTGCTACTTTTAGATTTTTAATGACTTACCTGGATAATATCATAGTACTGAACAAAAGACTGTTTTAATCTCTCGTATTAGATTGCTACACTTTAGTTCTAAGGTATTAAACAAAATTTGAGATTATAGCAGAATTGTTTAGAAAACTGTTTATATATTTTCCCATCTTTTTAAGTTCTAGACCAAAGTTTGCAAGGAAAAGGAAAGTGTTGAGACAAATTCACCCAGCTAGCTATTTCTGGATTGATTTATATTTATAGAAGCCATTGGTAACTTTAAAAGGATCTGAGAAAGTATGAATTGTTTCAAGAGCTTGAGAGGCAAGGTAATAACATCGCTGGGCCATTATTCAATAACTGAACCTTATACTTGTTTACTTAGGATTAAAATATCGCTTCAGTACCACAAAGAAATTAGGCTGTTCCTTTTGGAGTGTTTTAATAGTTAGCTGAGTGCTCCTCAGGAAGAAGCCACATACCCGGAGCGTAACCAGGAGACAGTCATGGAACCGTAACGCAGACCATGGACTGCAGCAGCTTGGTTTGGAGCTGGGTCAAACCTCACAGTAAGGCTCCATCTCAGGCCTGGCTGCAAAGTCAACATCTCTCTGCATCCATGTTTTCACATTTACCTTTCTGGAGCGGCAATAGGAAAATGTTTCCCTAAAAGAAAAGACAGTGATGCTTTCATCGAAAGAAAAAGTAAAGAACTATTGTGTGTGCCTAACCAATCTTACAGGGGGGAAAAGATTTATATTATCTTGAAAACATAATTTGGTCTTGTTCAGGCCATTGGGGGAGAGGGGGACTCAAAACAGTGGTAAATAATTCTTTGCTCAAAGTAGACTTCAGCATTTTGGTTCAATGTGAGCCATGACCCAGGTGTGAGGCTGAGGACAGGGTTTGACCCAGACCAATGAACTGCTTAGAAAGGTTTTTGTTTTTTTTTTTCTAATGCTGTGGTAACAGCAACCCAGGAGTGGAATGTACTAAGGAAGAGGAAATGTTAAACTTAGCCTAATCAAACATTTTCTTATCCAAAATTGAATATAATTTGGTTTTACGGGACCAAGAGGTTCATTGAGTGGATAAATTACTTACCATATCCACAGTCAATTAAGTAGAGTGTTTGTAAGTCATAAGACAAAATATTAGGTACAGCCAAGGATCACTAGTGCCTCTCATTTAACATAAAACAGTTTGAGAAATTAGTTTACATAATACACTTCTTCTACTGTGCACAGTTATAACCGTGGTACGGGGAAAGAGCTCTTAACGTCTGTAACTTGGGCTCACATCCTTGCCATCTGTGTATGACTGAGCATTCTTGGATAAATTATATCTCTAAGACTCTTCTTTTGCACATGGACAAAGAAGGGGAAAGGATAACAATACTTATAAACACATAATTTTTATGATAACTACAAATATACTCGGCAGTACCTGGAAATCTGCACTCAAAATATAGATCCTCTACCTAATAGTCCTGTAAACCGATTTTTTGACTAAAAATTTAATCGCGATGCATTGATTCTATATGGCTTTGGGGAGCATTATGAAGGATCATGAATGTGAAGTGCCTGGACCATTGTAAGCTCTAGGTAAGTATTAGTCACACAATGAAGATATAGTAAGGAGAAGGAAAAGGAGAAGAATAAGTAGAAAGAGAAGAAACCCTCTCACCAATAAAGTTTTCTAGAATTTCCACCAAAATTTTGTTTTGTTTCATGACATATCAAATTGTAGTATTGACATCTAGCTAAGTAAACTAAACCTCAAAAGAGAATTATAATGCTTACCAAAAAGTATTGCTGCACAGAATATATAAAATCATTTACAAAAAGTATTTTGCTTGATACATCAGGTAAAAATAGCCAATAATAACTAGTAGCTGGTATTATTATTGTTATTACTACTAATGGTTTTATATTATGAAAGCATGATCATGTGGACAAATTTTAAAATAAAAATAAGCAAAAATGATAATAAGAACCCATCCCTCAGAAACAATCATTGTTAACATTTTCATGCCTATCTCTTCTTATAAAATAAGAAGGAGGCAGGGCACAGTGGCTCATTCCTGTAATCCCAGCACTTCGGGAGGCCTAGGCAGGTGAATCACTTGAGGTCAGGGGTTTGAGATCAGCCTGGCCAACATGGCGAAAACCCATCTTTACTAAAAATGTTAAAATTAGCTGGGCATGGTGGTGCACACCTGTACTCCCAGCTACTCGGGAGGCTGAGGCAGAATTGCTTGAACACGGGAGGTGGAGGTTGCAGTGAGCGAAGATTGTGCCACTGCACTCCAGTCTGGGCGACAGAGTGAGACTCCATCTCAAAAAAAAAAAAAAAAAAGAAGGAAGATGTGCCTATTGGCAATGAAGTGGTGAAGGAGCAAAGACAAATTTCGATCCTGCAAGATAAAAAGGACAACTCCAAATCGGGAGACTCTCAACCCGTCCCCACCATCCAAACAAACCAAGAAGACTCCCTAAGATACCTGTATTTTGCTAGACTGATTGAAAAGCCATGATATGCTACATGTACTAGTTACGCTAGATCCTGATAAGATACACAATATTTTTTAAAGGAACAAAAGTCCATAGAGAACTGTACAGAAAATGAGAAAACAAAATGTCATAAAAATCAATGTAGGTAAATTTCCCCGGGGAAAAACAACCGTGAAGCAGTGGAAAAATGTATACCAATACTTGTATTCTATTTCTACTGTGAATAGGAAACTGTCACAAACATACTTGTTTCAATCAATGCTTATTTATTATCTCACAGTATCAGGGGTCAGTAGTCAAAGCAAGGGTTATCTGGGTTCCATTACTGCATCAGCTCAAAATGACCAAAATCTCATCATCTAATCTATATCTCTTCGTCTCGGCTCAGAGTCTAGATTCCTATGATTGTTATCATCTCAATCCAATTTGTGCGAGACTCCTGGGTATAATCTATTAAGTACAGCTCTTGAAACACAAGTCCTTCCCATCTGTTGACATGTAAAAGGAGAGAAAAGTCCCAGGTTCTCAAAACTCTCAACATACACTGGCATATGACAAAAGCTAAAGACATTCCAGTTTAATAAATGCAATGATAAAAAGGGTTTCCCTAGTCCACAGTGGTTCTGAAATCCAACTGGAAAAATGGGAGTTCTTGACTAAAAGTTTCAGAGCCTGAGAATAATTCTTTCTAGCTCTCATCTCTGCCCTCTGGGCTCTTGGTCCCATTCTCTAAGCCATCCATCCTTTTTCATGAAAGGTAGTGTGTGCTTTTTGCTGAAGAGTTTTATTAGCCTACTTCTTGCTAGTAGAGTTTTAGAGGTCCAACAGCCTCCTCCCTTTTGCTCTCTCTCTGTCCCTTGTAGTTTAAGCTGGCTGTGTTACTGATGAAACAATTTTCTAAAGAATTTTGTAGGTTTTCCATGGATTATACTCCATTTAAAAAAAACCACATCCACAGATTTTTTCAAGATAATCCTTACTCGGCTGGGCACGGTGGCTCACGCCTGTAATCCCAGCACTTTGGGAGGCCAAGGCGGGTGGATCACGAGGTCAGGAGATGGAGACCATCCTGGCTAACACGGTGAAGCCCCATCTCTACTAAAAATACACAAAATTAGCCGGGCGTGGTGGCGGGCACCTGTAGTTCCAGCTACTCGAGAGGCTGAGGCAGGAGAATGGCGTGAACCTGGGAGGCAGAGCTCGCAGTGAGCCGAGATCATGCCACTGCACTCCAGCCTGGGCGACAGAGCGAAACTTTGTCTCAAAAAGAAAAAAAAAAGAAAAAAAAGATAATCCTTACTCAATCTTTGGTGCCTGCTGAGGTAATTGAGAGACAAGGTCATTAAATATCCTAAGAGGATCACATCCTTAATCTCTTGAAAAGGTCTTTTGTGTGAGTGAATACACTAATCTTTTGATTTTTCTAATGTTTTTATTTTATTTTATTTATTTATTGAGACCCGGTCTTGCTCTGTCACCCAGGCTGGAGTGCAGTGTCCGGATTACAGCTCACTGCAACCTCCGCCTCCTGGGCTCAAGCAATCCTCCTGCCTCAGCCTCCTGGGTGGCTGGGACCACAGGTGCATACCACCACTCCCAGCTAATTTTGGAATTTTTAGTAAACACATGGTTAGACCACGTTGTCCAGGCTGGTCACAAACTCCTGGGCTCAAGTGATCTGCCTGCCTCGGCCTCCCAAAGTGCTGGGATTAGAGGCATGAGCCACCACACCTGGACTTTAAAGTTTTAGCAAAAAATTTTACACTCACATAAACTCAGCCTTTTCTTGGTGAAAGGTTTCAGCAGTTATTTCTTACTTTAAAGATTTTGTGCCATCTGGAGGAGCTAAGAATTATCAAAAATCATCTGGTTCTTGTTCTTTTTTGTTTAATGTTCTTCCCTCAATTTATCTTTCTCTTCTTGCATCTTACAGTAAGCAGCAAAAAGAAACCAGGGAGCACTTTCAATATTTTGCTTGCAAATCTCTTAGATATATATCCAAATTCATTGCTTATATCTCCTGCTTTTCACATAAATTCAGAAGACAGTTTTGCAAAGGTTTCTGCTACTGTGTAACAAAAAACCCCTTCCTCCAGTATGCAGTATCGTAGACCTCATTTCCTTCTGAGCCATCGCTGGTAGTGTATTCAAAGTTGAGATTCCTACCAACAGTCTGATCACAGAAATCTGGGCTTTCTCTAACATGCTGTGCCAAATTCTTCCATCTTCTGCCCACTGTCCAGTCCGAAAGCTACTCACATATTTTCAGTAACTCACTTCCAAGTATTAAAATATGTATTTGTTTTCTATGGCCGCATGACCAGTCACCACAAACTTCCTGCCTTAAAGCAGCACCATGGCCAGGCAAGGTGGCTCATGCCTTTAATCTCAGCACTTTGGGAGGCAGGATAATCACTTGAGGCCCAGAGTTTGAGGCCAGATCTAGCAAGACTTTTTCTCTACAAAAAAATATTGTTTTTAATTAGCCAGATGTGGTGGCATGTGCCTGTAGTCCCAGCTACTCAGGAGGCTGATGCAGAAGGATCACTTGTGCCCAGGAATTTGAAGCTACAGTGAGCTATGGTCATGCCACTGCACTTCAGCCTGAGCAACAGAGTGAGAACTTGTCTCGAAATTTAAAATAAAAATAATTTAAAATAATGTAAGTTTATATAAAATAATGTAAATTTATAAAAAATAATAAACATTTTTTATCAATAAAAATAAAAGAATAAAAATAAGTGAATTAAAATCCACTTCAAAAAAACAGGAAAAGAATAACAAAATAATTCAAAAGAAGGCTCAAGTAATGAAATAATAAAGAAAAAAAGCAGAAATTAATTAGGAAACAGAATTATTAAACTAAAAAAACAGAATTATTAAACTAAAATTATGTTTTTTAAATTAACAAAATAGACACACAACTACCTAACTTAATTAAGAAGCAAAGGGGGAAATCACAAACTCAGGTAAAAAATGACATGATGAAAATAATCACTGAAAGAGCAGAACTTAAACAATAAAAATAAAACAACAGAAAAAAAATAAAACAACAACAACAGCCAACAGTAATCAGACCAATTTGCAGAACTTTATACAAAGAAACTAGAAAATATAAATGAAATGGAAAATGTCTTAGGGAAATATAAATTACCAGAATGTTTCCATTACAGTGAGAAAGCTTATACAGAATGATTTCCATAGAAGAAATTAAGAAAGATATGAAGAAACTACCACTGAAAAAGCACTGGGCCCAGATAGTTTCACAGGGAACTTCTGTCAGTCCTTCAGAGGCCGGGTAGTCCTGATGCTCTATAAACTATCCCATAGCATTGAAAGAAAGGAAGAACTTCCTGGCCTCCTGGCCAGGCGCAGTGGCTGATGCCTGTAATCCCAGCACTTTGAGAGGCTGAGGCAGGTGGATCACCTGGGGTCAGGAGTTCAAGACCAGCCTGGCCAACATGGTGAAACCCCATCTCTATTAAAAGTACAGAAATTAGCCAGGCTTGGTGGTGCAACCCTGCCTGTAATCCCAGCTACTTGGGAGGCTGAGGTGGGAGAATCACTTGAATCCTAATGGTCAACACTGGAACAATTAGAGCAAAAAAGTCATCACAATGGAGGATTCTAATCCATAGAATAAAGTAAACACCCACAAGTTCGTACTTAAGTTAATAAATAATCAAATAAATAAAAAGGAAAGGAACAGCTCTATGCTACATCTCTAATTTAAAAATGTAGCAGGAAAGAGGGATATGGTAAATCATCATCAGGCACACAGCTCAGTAATAATTATTATAAATGGATGGATGTTAAAATTCACAGGTAAAAATCTGAGGAAAAAGAGGATTTGCCTAGTCTCAAAGTACTCCCTCCGCAAGATGTGTATTAATGACAGACAGATAGATAGATGGTAACTTTACTAGAGGAGCCCATCCAACACTACCTGAACCACATGATCAAAGTCAACCTCACCCATCCTGAGGCATATCAAGTCATGTACCTCCTGATGTGATGCACTGGGAAGGGCACATTGATCCTGTGGTACTCCTGCCAAAGATGCATAACCTTTTTTGCCTTTATGCAAAACTTAAATTAAGGGACATTCTACAAAATGCATGATGGAACATACAAAAGCATTGCTCTGTCTGTTGTGTGAGGGACAGGCTGCAGGGGAACAAGTGGGGAAACAGAGACACCAATGTAGAAATTTTTGCAATAGCCTGGATGAGAGATGTCCATGGCTTGCAAGAAGGTAGTGAGGTGGGAGAAGAGTGGGATGTGGCCAAATTGGGAAAGTTACTGATGGAGAAATACACAGGAATGTCTAATAGATAAGATGTGGGTTTCAGAGAAAGAGAGAAGTCAAGAATGCTTCCAAACTGTGGGCATGAGCAAGTGGAAGAAATGGGTCTTCTTTTTACTGAAAATGGAGAAGACTAGATGAGAACTCTGTGTGTTGGGAAAAAATAAGGACTTGTCTCTGGACATGTTAAGTGTGAGTTGTCAAACATGTACCTAAGTGGAGATGTCAGAGGGGAAGTCTAAGGTCGGGAATTCAAAGGAGATGTTAAGGCTGGAGAGACATATTTGGATTTTTGAAGTCATGAAAGTGGAAGCTATTAGCTAGGAAGTCAGTGTGGAGAGAGGAGGAAAGTCTGAGAACTGGCATTAAGAAAGTAAAGATTTGGAGGTCAGCAAGATGAGAAGAACCAGAAGAGGCCATTGAAGAGAGGCAGAGTGGCTTAAAGAAAAGCGAGATTAAAATGCAGTGTTTCAAGAACGCGGCTATCCTTCAGTGACTGGCTTACTTCACTCAGCATAATACCACTTACATGGATAAACAGCAACGTTCATCCATGTTGTCATATAGGGCAGGATTTCTTCTGTTTTTAAGGCTGAATAACATTCTACTGCATGTATATACCACATATTCTTTATCCATTTGTCTGTTGATGAACGTTTTGCTTATTTTCACTTCTTGACTATTGTGAAAAATGCTGCAGCGAACATGGGGGTGCAAATATCTCCTGGTGGCCTTGATTTTAATTCTTTTGAATAAATATACAGAAGTAGGGTTGCCTATGCTATGCTTTGAGTGTGTCCTCTCCAAAATTCAGATGTTGCTAATGCAGTAGTATTAAGAGGTGAGACCGTGTGTGTGTGTGTGTGTGAGAGAGAGAGACAGAGAGAGAGAGAGACAGAGAGAAAGAGAGAAAGAAAGAAAGAGAGAGAGACTAGGTCATGCACGCTCCTCCCTCATAAATGGGATTAGGGGCTCTTAGAAAGGGGCTTGACAGAGGGAATTCATTCTCTCTTGCCATTCTGCATTCCACCATGTAAGGACACAGTAAAAAGGCTAGCACTTGGATCTTGGACTTCTCCAGAGCTGTGATAAATAAATTTTTGTTTTTTATAAATTAACCAGGCTCAAGTATTCTGTTATAGCAGCACAAAAGGGACAGAGATAGCCAGTTACATAAGAATCTAAAATCATCAAGCTCACAGAAGCAGAGAACTGAATAAGCTTTCCCAGGGGCTGGGGAGGGAAAATGGAGGATTGATGTTTGATGGGGATAAAGTTTAAGTTATGCAAGATGAGTGTATCTGTGATACAACATTGTGCCTGTAGCTACCAGTAGCATGCTGTACACTTAACCATTTTTTACAAAGGTAGATCTCATGTTGAGTGTTTCTACCACAATACAATAATAATAATAATACAAAGAATAAGGCAGTGATCAGGCATGACAATGCAGCTGCCAGGGCTAAGCTAGGAGCATGAAGAATGATCATGGGATTCCTCACCACAAAGGTCATTGCTGACCTCAAGAGAAGCATCTCCAGTGGGAAGTAAAACATGAGTGGCCAGGGTCCAAGGATACTGGAAGAAGGGAATGATGGAATGGTAAGTAACAAACATTCTTTTGAGAGGTTTTGCTCTAAAGGATAAACAGATAAATGAGATGGCTGCTGGAGGAGTTTATAAGATCAATAAGGGCCTTTTTCCTTTGATTTTTAAGAAAAAAAGAAAAAATGGTGTGCTTGTAGCTTGATGTAAATGACTCAGAGAGGAAAACGTGCAGAAGATCGATATCTGTGAGTAGGATGCGAAAGCGGAGCCTACAAATTTAAAAACTTTGGCATTGGAAGGACTTAAAATATTGAAACAACCAAAGATGTGGCTGGAGTCATGCTGGGAAACAAAGATTCTTACGAAAAGTACTTACCTTAGAAAATACAGATGGAACATAGCCCATTGCTAACTGCAAAACAGAGACAGACAGACAGACACACATATACACAAACAGATACAGACAGACAGACACACATATACACAAACAGATACAGACAGACAGAGAGAAAGGCAGAGACAGAAACAGAAACAAAGATTGAGAAGGTAGAAATAGTATGCTCGTATAAATATAGACATATATACATACGTATAAGTCCACATGCAAGCATAACCACAAGAAATGTGTGTAGAATCTATATTAAGAAAAATAAAGTATTACTGAAAAATATAAAGGTCAGTTACCAATGGTTACATCTTTCTCCTAAGTTGGAATGCTAAATATTTTAAACATATTAATTTCTTCCCAAATTAATTTGCTCAAAAGTATGTTCATTCACTTATTGCACAAACATTTGTTGAGTCTCTACACTACATGACAGGCACTGTACTAAATACTGGCCAAACAGACAAACCAAGCACAGATCTTCCCCTAACGGAGCTTCTAGTCCAGTAAGGGACATAAACAATAAAAAGTGGGCAAACATATAGATATATAATTACAATAAGAACCAAGAAGACAGTGACTAGGATAGGGTGACAGAGAATAATGTGTGTAGGTTGGAAAGACTGCTCCTTGGCAAAATGACTCCAAAGTTAATATGGGAGACTGACGGGGCAAAGTCGGACAGCAACTATGGAAAGGCCCTCTGAAAGAAGTTTGGAAAGGAAAACAAGAGGAAAGACCCCTACTCTATTCATAAATTATAATTTACCATAAAGCTATTACAATTAAATTTATTTGGTCCCGGAAAAGGACAGAGAAAGTATAATATAGGATCCAACAAATCCCATATATACATGTACAAATGGATAATGGATATCTATTTATCTATTTATATAAACACATACACACACACATCTATCCACACACAAATATCTACAGCAGAAAGTAGGGGAGAGTCACATAAACCATGTGTGCCTAAGCCACAAGCTCTGGGACCTTGAACAAATTATCTACCTTTGCTAAAACTCAGCTTCCTCAATCACATGTCGTGAAGATGAAATAAGATGATGTAAAATGTTTGGCAGATGTATCTGGAACTCAGCTCCTACTTAGCTGAAGGTGGTACATCATTTTCTGTCATCATCATCATCGTCACCACGGACATCCTCAATCTATTTCTTGTCCAGCTGAATGTGACATGTCTGGACGTATTTGTCAAATAGTGTGGGATGGGTGTAGTGGAAATCTACGGTTAGGAGAGACTGAGAGGCTCTTTAACGTAAAATAAGCTTTAAAAGGTCAGTTGACCCAGTTAAACAACATCAGTCATTAGATGGAAGCAATTATTTTGAGTTCCTATGGGGTAGCTGCTACACAGGTATGACCATAGCCTGGATACCCTTGCCAAAATGGTTTATGTTTGGATGTCAAGGAGAGGGCGAGTGTGGTTCTGAACTCAAAGAACTTATGGTGACTTTCTTGAGCCCTCTGGCACATTAGGCCACCCATCAGCAGTGCCTTTGGAACCCAGAATGATGAAGCTCTAACATGTAAAGGGGGAATGGATGCTTTCTTGACCCTGAAGTAAACGCAGCTCTGGCGTCTAGAAGGTTCCAGCACACAAGAAAACAGCAACCGAGAGGAGCAACATCCTCCAGTGGATGCCACAATGATGTCCAAGGAGTGCCCAAGTGGTATCCTAAAAATAAAGGCCCATTTGCCAGATGACACTGCTGTGACACCTGGTAGAAATGGTCACGGTGCCTAGTAAAGTTATTCCCAGGATGAGCCAGGAGCCAGGTAGTGCCCAGTGGAAACCCTGGGGCTGGGGAGTGGGGAAGCAGTGAGAGGTTATCCAGAGTAGACGACGTGAGAGCAGGTCGCTCACATTCACGTAACCTGTTCCCTCCTTTGTAACGTGGGACTGCTAACACCACCAGGTTGTCAGGGACGAAATGAAGCCGCACACTTCATTCACGTGACAACATGGATTCCTGGGTAGTCTGGTGAGGGCCACAGATTCTCTATGCTCAAATATATCCTGAATCATGTTGTTCCCACCTTTTGCAGCCTCTCTTTTTATACATTCATCTCTCTTTAGGTAGAAGTATTTCCAGTCATGTTTAAACAGGCTGTTTTTACTTGGTCAGCTTCCAAGGCTGGGCTGAGCCCACGTTGAGCAATGGTGCTGAGGGCCTCTCTCTGTGCAGGAAAAGCAGGCTCCCAAGCTGAAATGCACAATCAGAATTCCATGTGCAGGAGAAGATGTGCAGCACAGCACGAGAGAGTTCTGGAAGCCTTCATTCCTCAGATCTCCAGGCTTAGGGAGCATATAAATGTCATCGGCCCCTTGGTGTAGATCTAACTTTCTCAGTCAGCAGCAACTTAAAATAGAATGTGGAAGCTACTCCTCCACTTACTTTCTATGCGATCTTCAGCAAAGTTCCCTAACCTCACCAGGGTTAGAGGAAGGAGAATAATGGAGTGCCTGTGAAGACCTGTGTAGGATTTAGCCTGATGGTCAGGAACACATCTGAATACTTTATATCTCTGTTAGCCTATTCCACCCTCTAAAACATCCTCTGAGATTGAGGGTCTAATTAAATTCTACCATTATTCCCATAATAATAATATAATAGTAATAATAGTTATTGGAATATAATAGCATTTATGTCATAGGATTATGGGGAAGATTCTAAAAACACAAACAGCTTACCTGGCAGACAGTAAATGAATATTTGCTCCATTAAGAAGTTGCTGCAATTAGCTTTGTTTATTTTTTCTTTTTTCTTTTCTTTTTTGGAGTCAGAGTCTTACTCTATTGCCCAGAATGGAATGCAGTGGCGCTATCTCAGCTCACTGCAACCTCCGCATCTCCGGTTCAAGAGATTCTCCTGCCTCAGCCTCCCAAGTAGCTGGGATTACAGATGTGTGCCACCATGTCTGGCTAATTTTTGTATTTTAAGTAGAGACAGGGTTTCACCATGTTGGCCAGGCTGGTCTTGAACTCTTGACCTCAGGTGATCCACCCACCTTGGCTTCCCAAAGTTCCGGAATTACAGGCATGAGCCACCATGCCAGGCTAAGCTTTGTTATTTTTTAAAGATGGCTTAAGCTCTTGTTGCTGTTGGCCCTCCCCTGACTATGCCAGTCTACATTCATCCCTCCCTTCTCAACTTCCTTTGATAACTGAAAGCCTTTTTGATTATATGCCTCAGAGATATTGATGCTCCTTGCAGACTGGCCTGACTTTCCAGAGCCCGCCTGGCCCAGTGAAAGCTAAAGACATAAAGCCTTGAGGACACAGCTTCCCTATACCCAGGGCCATGCAGCCCATGGAAGACCTCCTAACTCATATTTGAGAACCCCCCCCCCCTCCATTCCACGCCAGAGTGGAGGGTGTGTGTTCTCGCAGCCTCCTCTTCATCCCAAGTCTTTGCTGGAAAAGTGTATATTCCATTTTCTACTTCCAACTACCAATTCACTTTATTCACTACAGGCTCCCAATACAAGCAGCATTATAATGAAACTAAAGTTTTCACGTCTGATAAATGCTTTACATACGAGTATATAGAGAAATACTCCATATTTTGTTATACATATGAGTATATGGAGAAAAAAGAACCCTTGTACACTGTTGGTAGAAGTGTAAATTTGTGCAGCCATTATGGAAAATAGTATGAAAGTTCCTCATAAAATTAAAAATAGAAATACCATATAATCCAGAAATCTCATTTCTAGCTATATATCTGAAAAAAATGAAACCTGAGTCTCAAAGATATATCTGTACTCCCATGTGCAATACTAAATAGATAAAGAACGTGTGTTATATACACACAATGGGATATTAGCCACCTTTAAAAAAAGGAAATCTTGCTATTTGTGACAACATGGATGAACCTGGAGGGAATTATGCTTAGTGAAATAAGTCAGACACAGAAAAATAAATACTGCATAATCTCACTTATATGTGGAATCTAAAAAAGTTGAAGTCATAGAAACCAAACAGAATGGCGGTTGCTGAACGTTGGTGTGGGGGATTGGCAAGATGTTGGTCAAGGATATAAACTTTCAGTTATAAGATGAATAAGTTCTGGAGATTAGGGTGACCATAGTTAAGAATCATGTAGGCCAGGTGCAGTGGCTCATGACTGTAATCCCAACGCTTTGGGAGGCCAAGGCAGGAGGATTGCTTAAGGCCGGGAGTTCGAGACAAGTGTGAGCAGCATAGTGAAACTCCAACTTTACAAAAAAAATTTTTTTGTTAATTATTCACGTGTGGTCGCACACATCTGTGGGCTCAGCTACTCAGGATACTGAGGCAGGTGGACTGCTGGAGCCCAGGAGGTTGAGGCTGCAGTAAGCCATGATTGTACCACTGCCTTCCAGATGGGATGACAGAGCGAGACCTTGTCTCAAAAAAAAAAAAAAAAAAAGAAAGAAAAATGTATTTTATACTTGAATTTGTCTGAGAATAGATCTTAAATAGTCTCACAACACACAAAAATATGAAACTGTGAGATGTGAGATGATGGATATGTCAATTAGCTTGATGGTGGTAATCATTTCACAACAAATACCTGTATTGCAATATCATGCTGCGTACCTTAAAAATTATTCATTAGCTATACCTCAATAAAGCCAGAAAAAATAAAATCAGTTGGTAGAGAAACAATAAAAAAAAAGAACCAGGAATTCTTGCATGCAGAAATCTCTGAATAGAGATGAAGAAGGAGGAAGAAACCCTGCTGCTTCAGGTTCCCAGGGTTCTGTCCCTGATTCGGAGACTTGGGGAACACCTGCCTTCCTCCACAGACCACTGGGCCCAGGGAACGACTAACGCCTGAAGCTCTTGTTCCAGCTGGAACCCAACCTTAAGATCTTAAAAACATCGGTGAAAAGGTCAAAGTAGGAACTAAAAGCTGACATTTCTAAGATGGTTCCCTACTTAAGATGTGTCTTTTGAAAAATAAGGAGAGAAATTCTAGCTGTGGTGTAGCCTTCTCCTTGGTTCTGGGAAATGTCACACAAATGGATCATAGTTATCTAATATAGAAATGTCAAGGCCAGTGTGTTCCACTCACAAGTCTGATCTCTATTCTGAGATTCTTTCTTGTTTGGGGGCTAAAAGGTGTCCTTTCTTTTACTATCTTTTTAAATACTTTGGTAATTTGATCATACATTGGTGGAGGCAGATGACAAGTATTAATAATTGGTTGGGTGCCTGGAATATGAAGGGAGAATGACAAGCACTTGGAGATGAGAGTATTAAATTAGTCTTGGGAGTTAAACTATTATATCCACATGTGTGGCTTGAGGCCGAACACCTCCATAGGAACCGATCTAAAAAAAAAATCATATAACTAGAAATAATCCTTCAGCATGAGCTGAATTAGGCACTCTGTTATGCTTCATCTCATTTAATCCTCCTATCAACCTTAGGAAAAAGGGAATATCAACAAATCTATTTTCTGCATGGGGAACGTAGCCACTAAGAGGTTAAGAATTCCAAGAAAATGTGTGACCCATCAGAGGTCATTGTCAGCAAAAGCACATAAAAAGGGCAACTAAAGATGGCAATTTAAGCATCTTTATATCTCCCTTCACTGTTTAGGAGAAACAAAATTGTATGTAGAAGATCACGGCATCTTGGGTATGGGACAGTTGTTCTCTATTCTGACTATCTCCAAGGTCACCATGACATGGCGAGTCACCTCCCAGTTCACTTCCTTCTACAACCTCATTAATCCAACAAGTTTCTGGGCCCTGTAGTCTGAGTGGGGAAGGGCAGGAAAACTAGGAAGCTGGAGTGGACCCAGGGGACCAACCAGGAGATGACTGCCAAAGTCCAGATAAGAGGTGGCTGATGCGAGGCCTGTTTGAAAAGCTTGCTTGCAGGAGAGACCAAGTGTGGCATTGAGGCTGTGGGCCTCAGCAACCAGGTGACTTGTGTTACTCTCATGAATAAGTTTGGAGCTTGCTAAATGTGGATGTCTATTGGAGAACCAAACAGAAGTATTAAATGAGAATTTGGGAATGTAACACTAGGCCTCAAAGGAGAGGTTAGAGCTTCAGATATAAATATGAGAGCTATGTGGATTGCTGGTATTTACAGGCTCTGAGTGGAGGAGCATAACTAGAAAGAGTGTTGATTTAAAAAAAAAAAAGAGAAATAGCAAAAATAAAGACTACTGTGGCTCATAAACCAAATGAAAAAGAAAAGCATTTTTTAAAAGTAGGGAATGGGCATCTCTGTTGCTGAGAGTCTAAGTAATAGAATTGACCAAGGATTTGATAGGTCATATGATTTGCAATTACTTTGGAAATTATACTGATTGGCAGAAAGAATCAGGATCGTTTTTCATCTTTTCTAATGCTTTATGCTTTTCATAACTTTCAAATGTTTTGGCTTGGCATTGGTGACTTTTCCTGTTTTGACTTTATGGCCCCATTTAATTTTCAGAACATTTTCTAAATTTCAAAATATGCTAACCATTGAAGGATTTTAACATTGAGCAATGAGAAAACAAAGCTAGAATTATATATTCTCACTCTTATACATGTTTTATTACTGTGAGATAACCACATCTCTCTTCTAATTATATAGTATACAACCTGAGTTAAAAAAGAATTTTGACTGATAACGTGTATTTGGGGTTTAATAATTAAAATTCAGTTTCTTACTATAGTTTAGAATACCATTGCAATTCTATTTTTATTGCCTGTATTATTCTTTATCCTGCCTCATTTGAGAAATGACATTGGGCTACTTATGTTTCCATTTGCTAAGCTACCAGGCTGCCGTTGAATTAGTTCTCTTTGGCATTATTAGTGCTATGCACTGAATTGTGCACTCTGCCAAATTCATACACTGAAGCCCTAACTCTCTAACTGATTGCATTTGGTGACAGGGCCTATCGAGAAGTAATTAAGGTTAAATGAGGTCATAAAGGCAGAGCCTGGATATGATAGGATTTGTGTTCTTATAAAAGGCACCACACTTCTTCCTGAAAACCAAGAAAAGAGTTCTCGCCAGAAACCAAACTCTTCAAGAGCCTTGATCTTGAATTTTACAGCCTCCAGAACTGTAAGAAATAAATTTCTGTTGTTAAAGCTACCTATTCTGTGGGATTTTGTTATAGTAGCCCAAGCAGGCTACATGTGAAAATAAGATAATTATGTTCTAATTCCACCACCACTTACCCCCATATTTATAAGATATTTTATATTCACCGAATCTTTTTACTTTGTAAATCTTGTGCTGTTTCACCCATTCAACAAATGTATTAACAAATATTTATTGTGCGCTTATTATGTGCCAGGCACTTTTCTGGTGCTAGAGGTATAGAAGTGAGCAAAACTTATGTGGCATTTATGTTGTAACACACATAGAAAACAAATGAGGAAACAAAGGCAACGATTTAATTAAGGTCACACATCACTACCTACAGAACCAGAATTCAAACCTGGGATTTTGATTTCTAGTCCAGTGTTCTTTCAGTTTCAATCAGTCTTTCTTTCATGCTTAGGGAAGATTTTCCACAAATGATTGCTCAAACTTCACCCTCCAATAAACACAACAACCAAAAATTCCTTCACTAGGGCTACATTTGCTCAACTTCTTTTTACTTTATCTTATATTCTGTCAGAGTCCAATATAAAAATCACTTAATAATTTTTTAGAAATTTTGTTTAGAAATTAGAAGAGTATGTTTTTGTCTCCTTTCATCATTTGGCATACTTTCTTATTTCAGATACTTACAAACATATATGTTGGTAGTCAGGCCTTTTTTTGATTTTCATAAAGCTTGAAACCAAGTTTTAGAATCACTTATGGCAAATACTGTCACCCTATATAGTGTGTATAATTTCATTGTTCCTATTTTGACCTGATTTTCTTCTTGTGCTTTAATTTCCTCTGGTCCAGGGTATTTATTTCCATGTGTTGAGGCACCTTTATTTAGAATCTTGTAACTGGTACTGTCACCCCTGCTTGGAATAGTGGTGATAAAAGTCCAATCTTCTCCATTATAATAGAATGTTATAGTTCTCATGTTTACAGAGTTGACACACTTACAAATGAAATTTTTATATTGTCTAATCTATCAATGCTGGTAGAGGAACTAACAGTGCCATTGCAGTCAAGATGATGAATAAAGACAACATTCGTGTTTGCAGACAGAGAGTAGACCAAATAAAAAAGAAATGCTAAAAGCTTTCAAGGAGGAGCATGGAGGAGATGATCTCTCAGGGTAATCATCCAGCCTCATATGACTGAGTTTTCATATGTCTTTTAGAAACATTGCTCCAAACCAAGCCATTTGGTGTGGATTTGTAGGTATCTGGAGGCAGAGAGTGGGGTGAACTATTGAAGAGATTGCAAAATTTTGCACTAGGGGAAGGGGCTTTCTTTCTTGTCCAGATCTCTACTTTGGAGTTGAAGTGGAGACAGCTACGCCCTAGTTCCACACACTCTAGCCAAACCTCACAGCCACAGTGAAATTTCCCAAGTTTCTACAAGTCAGTGCCATCTTGATTTTATTAAAGTTGCCTCAGGACCAATAGTGCCATGGCAACAAATAAGAACATCTCAGCAAGATCACAGGGTTGTCTTGATTACATGTTGAGTTGTTGAGTAAACCTATACTGGGCTGCTATGGCAGGGTAACAGGTGCTCACCAAGAAGACACCTGGAGGGCCAGCCATCTGTTCTTTGGAATTGGCCCTTTCCCTTTTACAGTCCTTTCATTTGCTTTTCCCAGGCACTCTCTCCCCACCAGAAGGATGTTGAATCAGTTAAGAGCAGTCCCTAAGAGTTAGTAGGCATCTTTAAAAGAGGAAGGATAATATTTATCCCCTTGAATTATAGTAAGGATAAAGATGGAAAGCAAATGAGGTTGTTTTTTGGCAAACAGTAAGTGTCTGATAAGTGGCTATGGCTTATGAATCCAATTGCCCTTTCCATTTGCAAACCAAAATTCCCTTTCAGACTAGAGCTAGAAAAGTGAGTTCTGGGCTCAAGCATCCATCTGAACTGGAACTGAGGAAAGGCTGGAGAATAGCAGCAGTTGAGAATAGCACAGATTTCCCCAGTGCACATACTGTTTTCCTTTGGACCAATAATTATCTCTTGATTTATAAGCCTCAGGGCAAACACAGGCACAGATACAGACACAAGTATATCCAATCTGTGACTAAGGCACTAATGAGCTCCCAAATAAAAATGCATTTATTATATTCAATTTTTATGAATAAAAATTGTGGTCTTTTATTATTTTAGTTACTGTACAGAGGAAATACTCTAACTCTTGAAACTTCTCTACAACTCACTAGGGCTCTGAGATATGGGCGTGGCAGCTGCTTGCAGAAGACTTCTATGTTTTGCAACAGAAGCCTGCAGGGGAACAGAAATTAGAAAAATTATTAAGAGCCTTTATGTGGTTTTAGGCCTGACATTTTGTACTTGGCTTTTCTCATTGAGTTTACATATTGCAACCCATTATAAACATTGGGGAGGATGGTCAATATAATTAATGTTGTGAAACAGTTTCCACTATAAGCTTTAATTTGAAGACACTTGAATTTTATGAATAATTTTCCTTTGGTTGAAATTTTCCATTGTCAGTTTTTACTCAAAGGCGATTTCTTTGTTTGTTTGTTTTTGTTTGTTTGTTTTGGAAAAATTTGACATTTAACTGTTTACAGATCAGGACATGAAAATATTCATTCTCTAATTGATTTTGTTGGATACTTTTATAAATATGTTCCAAAGGATTTAAACTGCCTGAATTTAAAATTACAAACTTAGAAAGTAAAGCAAGCTTTAGTGAGAAATCTTAGAAACTAAACATTATTAATGAATGATTAAGATCTTAGAGAAACAAATATATAGAAAGCATTTAGAAAAAAATAATTTCAACTCACATTCTCTCTTTTGCATCTATGAAATTTAACGAACATGTTGTCTTGGGTTATGTCAAACTTCTGTAAGTGAAAGACAAGTTAATTCTATGCTATTGCAATTTCCCTACCTGCTTATATTCAGATGGAAAATAGACCTGATCTTCTGAAATATTAGTTCTTGATTTTCAAAAACAAAATAACAACAACAAAAAAAAAATTCTTTCATCCCTCCTTTTATCAATGTAACTTGTAGAGAAATTGGTGACATGAACATTTTTTAAAGGAAACTATAGAAGACTTCCGGTTTCAGTTCCTATAAAATGCTTGAATTTAATCACCCTAATCCTTACAATTAAAAAAATCAGAACAAATTAAACATCAATAACTTTTCTTGTTACCATCAACAAAATGAGCTGTAGAGCAAACTGCCCCCCCAAAATCCAAAGAAACAGGGGAATCCAGAGAATCATGGCTGAGGCCTGTTGGCCAAGATCTGAAATCTCTGAAGCCACTGAAAGCGCTGGAGCCAAAACTGGTAGGAATATCTCAATAACAATTTTGACAAATTGCTGGAGGCTTTGTGGACTACTGGAGAGTGATTAAAGTCCTGGATGTTGCAGCGTGACGGCTCCTTCAAGCTTTCTTGAGTTTTACCTCCAAGCATCTCATGAGGTTCCCATAGTAAAGATTAAAAAGAAAAAAAGACTCCTCATGTCTCTGACAGGAGAAAGTGATCTGTAAAATTATTGTGAAATAACCCCAGAGCATTCTCCATAACAATAGACTGCTCCCCAAGGTGAAAAACTTTGCTAAAGCATCATCCCAGGTGGAGCAGGGGCATTGCTCCCACTCTAGCCCCCTCCAGCCTTGCTGTCTCAGCTAGGAAGACAAAAAAGACTGTGAAGGTCACAGCCCAGGGACACGGACACAGTAAAAGGCTGAGACTCAGTCATAGGATTATAGATTCCAATGCTTGCCCATCTCTACTCCTCACCACTGCACCAACAGGGTTCCTGTGTAATAACAGTGGACTACAGCTTGAAGAGCTACAGACTCCCCCTAAGAAAAGCATCCAGGAGAGCCCAGAGTCAGGAGGGGAGAAAAAGATAAGGACAGAGGAGCAATTTAAAGCCTCTAGCGTCTGCAGTTAAAAGGTAAATACACTGGGGTGGATTTAACTGTTACAGCCTTCTTCTTGGGAGGCCAAAGAGATTAACACAAATCCTTACACTAATAGCCTGTGTTCTTTAGTGACTATTACTCAATACAACATGTCTAGTGTTCAGTGAAAAAGGTACAAGACATGCCAAAAATTAATGAAAAAAATTAAGAACACAAATGAACATCCAAGAATTATAGGATAATATCCAAATATGTGAGATAGACATACCAGGAATATCTGGAATACCAGGAGGAAAAAGTAGAGAACAGAGCAGGAAAAATATTAAATTATAATGCCAAGAATTTTCATTAAATTTTTCTTTGAGACAGGGTCTCACTCTGTCACCCAGGCTGCAGTGCTATGGAACCATCATAGCTCACTGCACCCTTGAACTCCTAGGCTCAGGCAATCCTTCCATCTCAGCCTCCCTAGCAGGTCCAACTAAACGTGGGCACCACCATGTCTCTCTAATTGTTTTTTTTTTAGATGGGGTCTCACAATGTTGCCCAGGCTGGTCTCAAATTTCTGGCCTTAAGTGATTCTTCTGTCTTGGCCTCCAAAAGTTCTAGGATTACAGGCATGAGCCACCATGCCCAGCCAAGAGTTTTCCAAAGTTACAATAGACATCAAACCACAGGTCGAGCTAACTCAGAAAGCATCAAACAGATTAAATACTGAAAACCTTCATTTAGAAGTATCATAATCAAACTACATAAAATCAAAGGCAAAGAAAATAAATCTCAAAAGAAGCCAGAAAAAATAAATACCCTATCTATAGAGGAATAAAGAAAAGAATTACAGTAGGTTTTCTGTCAAAATCCATGCAAGAAAGAGGAATGCAGTCAAACATTTAAAATGTTGAAATAAAAAAATTCAGCCTGGAATTTTATACCTATCTGTACTAGAATGGAATAATAACTCCCCACTAAACATAGTGACCCACCAGCTCTACATGAGGGCCCCCATGTTACTATACCTTTACAATCCTCCTAACACTTTTATTATGCCTGGAAAGTTGATTTAAAAAATTGTGTTTGTTTTTATTTAGTTAGTTATGGATAAGGCTGAGTATCTTTTCACATGTATGTAAGCTGTCTATGTGCCTTTTTCCATTAAGTTATTTGTGAGTTTGTGTATCTATTTTGCTTTAAAATTCTCTCCCATGCTAAGATTATTTATGTAAGTATATGTATAAGCATATTTAAAATGTTTTATTATAGTAATTTAGTTTTTTAAATATTTATATTATGAAGTCTTTTAGCATACAAAAATGTTTAGACCTTCACTGTCTAATACAGTAACCTCAAGCCATGTATGACTACTGAGCACTTGAAATACAGGTAGTATAAATTAACATGGGTTGTGAGTGTAAAATAAACAACAGATGTCAAAGAACTAATATCAATAAAAGAAATATAATATACTATATAATTTATAATTCTATATTGATTACATGGTAAAATGATAATATTTAAATATATTGAGTCAAACTATATTACTAAAATTAATTTTACTTTTAAATATTTAATTGACAAGTAAAAATTGTATATATTCAAGCTGTACAATGTGATGATTTGATATGCATATATATTGTGCACTGATTACCACTGTCAAATTAACTAATATAGACATAATCACCCATATTTACCATTACTTTTAGCTTTTTAAACATGGGAATTAAAACATTTAAAATTACATATAGTCCACATTACATTTCTATTGGATAACTCTACGCTTACCATTTAATTTACAAATTTTAATTTTCTGTGAAATTTATTTCATATCTTTATAGAATGCTCAAAAAACATCAAGCAGGATAAATGTCAGAATGTCTACACCTAAACATATCATATTCAAATCATGAAAAATCAAAGATAAAGAAATCCTCAAAGAAGCCAGAGGGGAAAAAAATTTACCTATATAGGAACAGGGGCAAAAATTATATCAGACTTTGTCTCAAAAATTATACAAGCAAGAAGAGAATGCAATAAAATATTTAAGATGTTGAGAGAAAAAAACCACCAACCTAAAATCCCATATCCAGTAAAATTATCTTTCAAACATGAAAAAGAAATAAAGACTTTCAGACAACAAAAACTTAAGGGAATTTATTGCCGATAGAGTCTTCCTGAGGGATATGTTAAAGGAAATTATTTGAGAAAAGGATAGATAGAGAAAAGGATAGAAAATCAGATCTATATAAAGAAAGGAAGAGTATTAAGGAAGGAATAAGCAAAAGTAAAATTTTGAAAATTTGCTTTTTTAAATTCTTAATCTGACAGATAATAGTTTGTTAAAAATAATAGTAGTAACAATGCATTCACTGATTATAGTTTAAGAATAAGTAAAATTAATGCCAGCAATGATACAAAGGACAAGCAAGAGATATTAGAAAAGCTTTATTATAGGAACTTTTACTACCTAGAAAGTAGTATAGTGTTATGTGAAGATGGAGTTGGATTAGTTGTAAATATGTATTGCAAACACTAGGGTAACCACTAAAAGAATGGGGGGAGGGGAGAGGTATAATTGATGTGCGAAGAAAGGAAAGAAAATAAAGTCATATAAAATGCCCAATTTAAACCACAGAAAGCAGAAACAAAGACAAAGAGAGTCAATAGAAAAGAGTAACAAATAGGGTAGATATTAATTCAACTACATCAATAATCACCGTAAATCCTACTGGTCTAAATATACAATCAAAAGACAGAGACTGTCAGAGTGAAACAACAGCCAACTATATGTCATCTAAAAGAAATCAACTTCAAATATAAAAATACAGATAGATTGAAAATAAGGGGATGGAGGAAGATACATCATGCTAACACTAATCAAATGAAAGGTGGAGTTGTTATATTGATGTCAGACAGAGCCGACTTCAGAGCAAGGAAAATTGGCAAAGATAAAGAAGGGCATCACATAACGATAAATTAGTCAAGTCTCCAAGAAGACATAGCAATCCTTAATGTGTATGTACCTTGCAACAGAGTGTCAATACATGTGAGCCACAAAGTGAAATAACTTCAATGGGAAACAGATAAATTTACTATTACACTGGAGAATTCAACACCCCTCCATCCGTTAGACCAGCAGGCAGAAAATCAGTAAGGCCACAGTTGAACTCAATAGCATCATTAATTAATTCACTTTAATTAACATGTATAAAATTATGCACATTGTCTTCAAGCCTACATGAAATACTAACCAAGATAAACTGTATTCTGAAAAAAAAAAAAACCACTTAACAAATTTAAAAGAATAGCAATCATGCAATGTTTGCTCTCAGGCCATTAAGGCCACAGAGGAATTAAACTGGAAATCAACAATAGGAAGATAGTGGAAAATCCCAACCTGGAAGTTAAACAGCACATTTCTAGGAAACACATGGGAAATCTTAAGAGAAATTTAAAAATTTTTGAAATAAATAAAAATTCAACTTTTCAAAATTTGTGGAAGGCATTGAAAGCAGAGGAAAATTTATAGCACTGAATGCATATATTAAAGAAGAAAATCTGAACTCAATAACCTAAGTTTCCACTTAGGAAACTAGAAAAAGAAGAGCAAATTAAATTTGAAGTAAGCAGAAGAAAACAAGTAATAAAAATTGGAACTGAAATCAATAAAACTGAAAATAGGATACCAGTTAAAAAAATCAGTGAAACCAAAAGATGACTCTTTTAAAAATTCAATAAAATTAGTAACACTCTAGCCAGAGTAACTAAGAAAAATAGAGATATAACAAATTACTAATATCAGAAATGAAAGAGGTCATCACCACATATTCTGTGGATATTAAAACGATAACAATGAGCTACTCAGGATGCTGAGGCAGGAGAATCGCTTGAACCCAAGGAAGCGGAGGTTGTGGTGAGCCGAGATCACGCCACTGCACTCCAGCCTGGGCAACAGAGCAAGACTCTGTCTCAAAAAAAAATAAATAAATAAATAAATATATATATATATATATGTAGAACAATCTTATGCTCACAAATTCAAAAACCTAGATGAAATTGAACAATTTTTGAAAGACACAATCTGCCAAAACTCACACAAGAAGAAATAGACAATCTGAATAGTCATATATATTTTATATATATACATATATATATATACATACATTTAATCAAATCAATTTCAGCAAAGAATAATGGGATTTTGAGAAAAAAACAAAATATCATTTATAATAGCACCCCCAAAATAAAATAGTTATAAATTTAACAAAGTATTTATAAGATTTAGCTGAGGAAAACTATTAAACTCTGGTGAAAGAAATCAAAGAACTAAATAAATGGAGATATGATCAATTTCTGGAAAGACTCAGCATTAGTAAGATGTCAGCTCTTCCCAACTCGACCTATAGATTCAATGCCATCCCAATGAAACTCCCAGAAATTTATTTTGAGGATATAGGCAAACTTGTTCTAAAGTTTATTTGAAGAGACAAAAGACCAAGAACAGCCAATACAATACTGAAGCTACAGTAATCAAGACAGTGTGGCATAAGATAAATAGATTAAAGGAACAGACTAGAAACCAGAGATAGAACCACAAACATGAAGTCAACTGATCTTTGATGAAGGAGAAAAGACAATACAGTGGAGAAAGAATTATTTTTACAACAAATGATGCTAGAACAACTAGACACCCACATATAGAAAAGTGAACCTAGACACTGAACTTACATCCTTAATTCAAAATGAGTCATAGGCCTAAATGCAAAATGCAAAATTATGAAACTTACAGAAGATAACATAGAAAAAAGTTAGATGACCTTAAGCTTGATCATGATTTTTAACTCTACACCAAAAACATGATCCATGAAATAAATAATTTATAAACTGGAGTTCACTAAAATTACAAAATTTTTTCTCTAAAAGACAGTATCAAGAGAATAAAAAGATAAGCCACAGACTGGGAGAATATATTTGCAAATACATACCTTGTATCTCATAAATAACCCACATAATGCAAAATATGTTTTTAAAAAAACTTAAAATTCAACAAGGAGCAAAAAATGGAATCGATTTGAAGACATCTCATCAAAGAAGATATATAGACGACAAACAAGAATGTGAAAACATACTCAACATCATATGTCATTTGAGAATTGCAAATTAAAACAATGACAGGCGTGCATGTGGTTAAAATAAAAAACCCTAACACCATCAAAAGCTGTAGAGAATGGGAAACGAGCAAATGCTCGTGGGAATGCAAAATGGTGCAGCTGTTAAGCTATTTCTTACAAAACTAAACATATGTTATCATATGGTCCAGAAATTGCATCCGTTGCTATTTACTGAAATGAATTGAAAATGTATGTCCACATAATAACTTATACATAGATATCTGTTACAGCTTTATTCATAATTGCCAGAATTTGGAAGCAACTTAGATGTCTTTCCATAGCAGAGTAGGTAAATGATCTGGCACATCTAAATAATGGGATGTTACTTAGGGCTAAAAAGAAATGAGCCATCAAGCCATGGGAAGACGTAGAGAAAAATTAAATGTGTATGAGAGGGAAGCCAATCTGAAAACAGTAATATACTGTATGATTTTAGTTATATGCATTCCAGAAAAGGAAAAACTATGGACACAGTAAAAAGATCAGGTTGCCAGGGGTTTGGATATAGGGAACAAAAAATAGGTTGAGCACAGGGGATTTTTAGGCCAGTGAAACTACTCTGTATGATACTGCAATGATGGATACTAGACATTATGCATTTGTCACAACCCATAGGACTGTACTGCACTAAGTGTGAACCCTAATGTAAACTATATAGTTAATAATAATAATGTGTCAATGTTGATTCATCAAATGTAACAAATGCTCCCTACTAATTCAAGACGAAAACTGTCAGGTGGGAGAGGTTGATGCATGAGAATTCTTTGTACTTTTGCACCATTTTGCTGTGAACCTAAAACTGCTCTAAAAAAATCATATTTTTTAAAAAATAAAATAGTTCATTACAAATTATGATAGATTAGATTATTTTTCAAAAATATTTGTCTTTCCTGCATGGGTAGAGAATAATTTGCCCTCACTTACCTGACTTTGGACTTGGACGAATGACTTGCTTTGGCCAATGGAATGTTAGCAGGCACTGCTTTTTAAGGCTTAAAAAGCACTCATATGATTGGGCTTTTACTCTTACACTTCTGTCATTGTCATGAGAAAAATATGCCCTGACTATTCTCAGCAGGGGATGAGCATGAAACAGAGTTGCCCTGGCCAAGTCAGTCCAGCTGAGCCTAACCACTCACATCTGACCTGCAGATGTATGAATAAGCCCAAGATCCACAGAACCACCTAGGTGAACCCAGTCTAGACCAACTGGCACTCAGCTGACCCACAGATTTGTGAACTAAATAAGTTTATATTGTTGTATGCCACTGCAATATTCTCATTTTTCATTATGTAGCAATATTTAATAAAGACAAATAGGTACATGGAAGTGGGATGATACCATAATAAAACCTCGAAGATGTAAGTTTGGTTTGAGAACCAGAAAATGGGTAGTGAGAAAACTATTATAGGAGGCTGAAAATGGTGTTACGTAGCCATGAAATATTTAGTAAAGCTATTGCCTGAAGTAAATTGGAAGAAATATTTATTTGCATTTACACCAAATTTTAGAAATACTGTGTCAATTTCTGCACATGCACACACACAACAAAACTTGTCTAGAGTTCGACCAATATTGCATTAAACTATGATAATTTTAAAAGAATTGAGTTCTGTACAATAATGTGTCTCCCATTTCACGAACATAGTACGTTCTTTCATTTATTTTGGTCTTTTAAAAATATTTTTTTTCTCAAGGCCAGGCACACTGGCTCACACCTATAATGGCAGCACCTTGGGAGGCTGAGATGGGTGGATCAGATTGGCCCAGGAATTTGAGAACAGCTGGGCAACATGGCAAACCCTGCCTCTACATAAAATGCAAAAAATTAGTCGGGCATAGTGGCACATGCCTGTAGGCCCCACTGTGGCAGGCCAGGTCTCACTAATGCAGGCTTCCATAACAACTGTTTCAGTACTGACTGGGTGGTTAAGTTAAATATTAAAAGCCAGCCCCCTTATACAAAGGCTGGGATGTAACAAAAGCCCACCGAGAGTTTTGCCAAGGCCTTTCCTGGGCCTTAAAGCATGACAAAATAATGAAGGAATTCTTAGCAGGACCCATTTAGAATTAAACAAGCTTATTGTGGGTCTGAAGAAACTCCCCAGGCCTCCACAAACAAGTTTATTGAGGGTCTGAAGGAAATCCCCAAACCTCTGTGATTTAGCAGGAGACAAGATAAGGGTAATCACCCCAGCACCTGGATCCATTTAGATTAAGTAAATTTACTGAGGCACCAGAGGAAGATCTTCAGGACTCAGACCTTAGTTACAGATTAAAAGAAGTTAATCACTTATGCCTTTAGATGAATGCACACTTATATGTAGACATATAGCTTAGAAGGTATGTAAGTTCTGGAAAACTTTGTAATTTTGAGTTGGTCTGGTGATAATTTCCAGGCCTTCTCCCTGTAACCAGTTGCAGAAATAAAAACTATCTTCCTCCCCAGTTCATCTGCATCTTATTTTGGGGCCACGAGAAATAGCAGCCTGACCCTCAGTTTGGTCCGGGACACCACTACTTGGGAGGCTGAGGTGGAGGTTTGCTCGAGCCCGGCAGGTTAAGGCCGCAGTGAGTCATGATTGCGCCACTGCAATCTAGCCTGGGCAACAGAGCAAGACCTTGTCTCAAATAGAAATTAGTATACATATTTATAAAACATATATATTCTCAACTATCTTTTATACTTTTCGGTATAAATATTTTACATCTTTTTTATAGATTTATTCTTAGTTATTTGATTTTTTAATGTTAAATTACATATTTTTAAATTTTCATTTTCTTTTTGTTTGCCACTGATGTATCAAATACAACGGGTTTTTATATGATGGTGTTGAACCAGGTGGCCTTGCTAAATTCACTTACCTAATAGTTTATCTGTAATGCTGAAAAGATTTTTTATAATTACAATTATGTTGAATTAGAATAATTACACTTTTACTTTTTCTGTTATAATCTTTTTACCTTTATTTTCTTGTCTTCCCTTATTGTACTAGCTCCAGTAAAATGGCCCTCAACAAACAAGAGATTGAGAAGATCACACAATTCAAAATTCATGTAAAAGTCTAACTAGCTCTAAGCCAATGCTTTCTTTTATATGTTTTTTTAAAGTTCAGTTTAACTTCGCAGCACATTTTTCATAACTTTGTCTGCTATACAAATTGTTCTGAGTCTCACTGAAATGAACAGCTATGTGAACATCAAACACAAACTGTTTTATTGGAAATTACCAATTACATCATTAGGAAAACCAAGAGACCAAAGAAAGACTTGGGAGTAATGAAACAAATGCACTTCTAGCCAGCTTCTATGTTAGATTTTTTTGGCCAAATCCATGGGCAAATCATAAAGATTGACACCAAAATGCTGCAACAATCAATTACAAGTTCTCTTGAAACAAATGGAAAAATTTTAAAAAAAACTGCAAATAAATAGTTTCTAAAAAAAAAAAAAGAACCAAGTGGAAATTATAGAAGTAAAAAATACAATAATATAATATTTTTTGTTTTCAGTTGACACCATGCTCCTACTAGTAAAGACAGGGGATACAATGAGTGAATTTGAAGACAGAACAATTTAATTTACCTAACCTGAACAACCAAAAGAAAATAGTCTGGAAAGAAAAAACAAGAGTGAACAGAGCCTAAGAAACCTCAGCGACAACAACAAAAGTTGCAACACCCATAAACTAAGAGTCCAGATGTAGGCCCTAACATATCAATAATTACCTTAAATACACCAATTAAAAGATTGGTGAGGTGGTAAAAACAAATACAGATAGTCCAACTGCGTGCTACTTACAAGAAACTCACTTCAAATTCCACAACATAGGTTAGTTGAAAGTAAAAGGATGGAGAAAGATATGCTGGTAAATTTTATAACTTAGAAAGTATAGACCAACTCCTCAAAACCCCAAACTACCAAAACTCACCTGAGATGAAATGATAATCTTAATAAACCTATAACCACCAAATTCATAATTTAAAAGCTCCCTAAAAGGAAATGTCCAGGCCCAAAAGGTTGACCTGAAGAGCTCTTCAAAACATTTTTTACAAAACATAATAGCCATTTTACACAGTGTCTGGCAGAAAATAGGAAACAGGGAAATCTTGTCAACTCATTTTATGAGGCCAACATTACCTTTCTATCAACACTGGACACAGTCAATGCTAGAAATACTGCTACAGGTCAATATTTCTTATGGACTTAGACACAAAAGCTATCTACAACATATTAGCAAACTAAATTCTGCAGTGTCCAATCAAACCACCATAACCAAGTAAGATTTATTCCAAGTACACAAGCCTGGTTTGACATCTGAAAATCAATCCACATAATTTACCATACAAACAAGAGGAAGACAAGTCATATGATCTTATCAATTGATGCAGGAAAAGCATTTCAAGAAAATATAACACCCATTCCTAATAAAAACTCTCAACAAGATAGAAACAGAAGAGAATTACTTCAAATTTATAAGAGTATCTACAAAAAAAAACACCTACCTCTAACATCATAGTTAATGGTGAAAGACTGAAGGTTTTCTCCCTAAGAAGGGAGCAGGCAGAGATGTCCACTCTCACCACTCGTATTCAACACAGTGCTGGAAGTTCTTGCCATTGCATGAAGGCAAGAAAAATAAAGACATACAGATTGGAAAGGAAGAAACAAAATTATCTCTATTTGCAGAAGAAAATTGTCCACGTAGAAATTCCCAAGGAATTTACTTAAAATAAAAAATCCAAAAACCTCCCAGTAATAATAAATGAGTTGAGTAAAGTCACAGGACACAGAATCAATTATCTCATCTCTATCTACTAACAATGAACATGTAGAAATGGAAATTTAACCAAAGGTTACCTACTGTATGATTTCATTTATATAACATTTTCAAGTTGACAAAATTTTAAGAATAGAGAACAGATCAGTGATTGCCAGAGTGGGGCATTGGGTGAAGGGAAGGAGGTGTGCAGGTGTGGTTGTAAAAGGGTAACACAGGGATCCTTTTGGTGTTGGAACTATTCAGATATTGACTATGTTGAATACATGAGCCTACACAAGTGACAAAATATACAGAACTTAATACACACATACAGAATGAATACAGGTAAAACTGGGGAAATCTTAATAAGATTAGTGGATTATGTCAATACCTATATCCTGGCTGTAATACTAGAGTTTTGCAAAAATGCTACCTTTGTGGGGAACAGGACAATGAGTGCAATGGATCTCTCCATATAAATTTTTTTTAAATGTTTCTTTTTTAATTTTTTTAATTGACAGATAAAATTATATGTATTTCCGATGTACAACATGATGTTTTGTAGTGGTTATACATTGTGGAATGACTAAATCTAGCCAATTAACATATGCAATATCTCACATAGTTATCATTTTTGTGAGAATACTTTATATCCACCCAGCATTTTTCAAGAATGTAATTTATTATAAACTACAGTAACCATGTTGTATGATAGATGTCTCTATTAATTCTTACAATTGCATGTGAATCTACAATTATCCCAATTTAATAATTGATCATGTTATACTTCTACACTTTCTTATTCACAATTCTAGTATCCGGAATTTTTTAAAAACAAACAAAAAATTATAATTTATTCAGTCTTAAGGTTTGACTTGATTTGAAAACATTTAGCTGTGAATGCTAAACTGAAGAGAGGATATTTATAGTCTTTATCCCACATAATAGGTATACATTATATACATATCTTATAAGGTTCTGAAAATTTGTAAATTCTGAAATAGAGCTTTGTCTCAAAATTTTCAATGAAGGACTGTGTGGTCTTTGTTGATTACTGAGCTGTAATCAACCCAAATCAATAGCTATTGAGTACAGTAGGGTTTGGCTGTTGACCAGGGTTAGAACCCCGTAAAGTCCATTCAAACCTTTTTATGACCAAGATACAGAAAGACTAAAAGTATCAAAATTGCATGTTTCCTTTAAAAAAGCAATAAAAAACTTTATTCATTCTTCTCTATTCACTCACGCACTCATTTATTCATTCAACAAGGATTCACTGAATGTTGATTGTGTTCGGTTATGAGCTGTGTCCTTTGATGAACATTAAATTATTTCATATTCTTAGCAGAAGTCCTCAAAATGAGCATCACGCCTCCATTTTATAGAAGAGGAGACTGAAACCTAGACAATTTAAATATCACCCTAGGTCAGATAGCAGATACTTAAAGCCAGGACTCTATCTCATGTCTGTCTGGCTCTAAAGCCTGCTTTTTTTATCTTCACCAAAGGGAAAATTCAGACATGTAAGACTAATCTTGTATCTCTAACTCTTACCTGTTTCAAAAGGTCTAGAATGATACACAAAGGCACCAAGTAGCAATTTTACAAGAATTGAATTAATCTTGAAAAAGAATGTAACTCAATGCAGGTTAGAAATTTGAATACACATTTTTCAAAAAGTAGAAAACTTAAAATGAATACCTTAGATGAAAGTGAATATTTTTAGGAAAAAGAAATATAAGTGAAGTTGAGACTAAAAGAAATTTCTAGCAAATAAGAAAGAGTCTACAGTAAAATTACTATCTGATTTGGGTAATTTTTCAGTAACAGTGTGATTATTACTTAAAAGGCAAGATTTTCTTCGTTCTGTAGAGAAGGCTATTATCCACCTCTTCTTTGAATTGGCAGGATATCAGTATAGCTTGACATATGAAAGGTAGCATCCTATCAGTTAACATAACGCAATGTGATTCAATGCACTGCAATGAAAATAAAGTTAAGGTCCAGGTATTTGTATCTATTCCTCTTTTTTCTTCTCAGGATCCTTCTCTTTGGTGTTTGTTGGGCTGCCCAGCATTTATTTAACTGTGCAGGTAACCTCACTCAAGAAACTGAGGAAAGCTAAACCCCTCCACAGTGGCAAAAATGAGGGACACACTCTGAGAAAAAGAACCAGGATTGTGAAAGAGGCCACAGGATGATCCAGTAAGATAGGAGGGGAGCATGAGGAAGAAGGCTCCCTGAGGGCTGGGGTGAGGGTGAAACAGTTGTGGGCAGGACCCCTGGTAGCCGCCTTCAAGGCTGGAACACGAGGGAGGCGGCGGTACACTATGGTAGGGTTTCTGAAGGTTTCTTTCAGATACATTATATAACCCATTCTTCAGTGACCCAGAACTTCTCTCAGGACCCGTAATGCTATTGCTTGTATCTGGCAATAAGTAAGTGTTTACTTGTCTACGGAAATTTTTTTTGGATGGATTTTCTAGATCATATGTGTTGTTTTTTTGAAGCTGTGATGTGCTGCTATTGGCCATAAAGCAAAAGAACAAATTTTTGGTTTTATATGGGTCTCTAAAGATCTGCCATTGAAAGAATCATCTCCTACAAAAGTTTCAAACAATGATTATTCTGTTTAATACGAATTTTCAAGGCACAACCTTTAGAGTAGACAGTTTATTCTAACCCCTCCCTCAGTCTATTTCCCAAAGTATTGCTTGATTGAATGAACACTAATTGTGTAATAGAAACAACACTTTGAGAAGTTCTAGTAGTCGGGTTATAAGAAATGGTTAGGAAAGGAAGTCAGTAACCGTGTGCACAAGAACAATAATTAGCTGGATAGCAGGAAGCTGCCGGGTTCTCACACAAAAGCTTTCAGGCTCATCTTTTCCCTCTTACTTCCTCTCTTAAGGTGTCACCAACATACATATAGTCTCCTTTAAAAAGATTTGGCATCCTAAAGTGAGTTATTATTTTTAAAGTCAAGTAAAAATACAGTAACCCAGAATGAGAAAGACTCTGTAATAAGTCATTCAGGCATTTACATACAGACTAAGCATAATAGGATGACATCTATAATCTTACGAAGAGTGTGAATCTGCTGGGTGCAGTGGCTCATGCCTGTAATCCCAGCACTTTGAGAGGGTGAGGCGGGTGGATTGCTTGAGGTCAGGAGTTCGAAACCAGCCTGGCCAACATGGCAAAACACTGTCTCTACTAAAAATACAAAAAAAAAAGTAACCAGGCATGGTGGTGCCTGTAGTCCCAGCTACTCAAGAGGTTGAGGCAGGAGAATCTCTTGAACCCAGGAGACGAGGTTGCAGTGAGCTGAGATCACGCCTCTGCACTCCAGCCTGGGTGACAGAGTGAGACTCTGTTTCAAAGAAAAAAAGAGTGTGAATCTTTTCTCCCCTTGCTTTATAGCATAAGAGAAAGGCCATCAAGTTGGGGGCACATTTCTCATTCTGAGTGAGGCTGACTTTGCCTTCACAATGTAAATCATGGACACACATGGGAGATGAGGTCTTCCCATACAACTGTATGTAGTTTTCAATCTCACAACAATAATCAGGCAACATCCTAGAGAATAATTATAAGTGGATTTGTTGGAAGTAGGAGGGAGAATGAAGCTTCATCATGCATACAACCAGTTTGTCTTGTGTAATGTAAGATGCATCCTAGTTATTCTGAAACAGTATTTAAAGCAAAAGGTTTGCTCAAGATAGAAAAAAATAGATAAAGCTTAGTCTCATGGAATGATCTATGGGTTACTCATCCAAGCTCTCACTTTCTCCCCTTCTCTATCCATATTAACTACACATGTGGGCTTGATAGTGCACAAGATAGCCTCAATTCACAAGATAACTTTCTTTCTTTTAGCAAACACTCAGCCTTCTCACACTATTCTCATATCTAGAAGATTGACCTAAAATCTCAGTTAATCAACTTATGCCTAAAAGCAGATATCAGTGCAAAAACCTTAGCAATGTCTAGGAGGAAATAATCAATGAGATGACAATGGAAAGAAAGCCTATATATCCTATTGTAAACTAAAAAGTACCTGAGACAAGTCTCAATCAGTTTAAAAGCTTATTTTGCCAAAGCTAAGGAAATGCCTGTGACACAGCCTCAGGAGGTCCTGATGACATGTGCCTAAGGTGATTGGGTTACAACTAGGTTTTATACATTTCAGGGAGACAAGACATTAATCAATACATGCAAGATGTACATTGCTTTGGTCCAGAAACGTGGGAAAACTGGAAACGGGGGCTTCCACGTCATAGATGGATTCAAAGATTTTCTTATTGACAATTGGTTGAAAGAGTTATTATCTAAAGACCTGGAATCAGGCCAGGTGCAGTGGCTCATGCCTGTAATCCAAACACTTCGGGAGGCCGAGGCAGGAGAATCAGTTGAGGTCAGGAGTTCAAGACCTGCCCAGCTAATATAATGAAATCCCATCTCTACTAGAATTACAAAAATTAGCTGGGCATGGTGGTGCACACCTGTAGTCCCAGCTACTTGGGAGGCTGAGGCAGGAGAATTGCTTAAACTCAGGAGGCAGGGGTAGTAGTGAACCAAGATTGCACCACTGCACTCCAGCCTGGGTGACGAGTGAGACGCTGTGTCAAAAATAAAGTAAAATAAAATAAGACCTGGAATTAATAGAAAGAATAGTCTGGGCTACAATAAGGGGTTGTGGAGGTCAATGTTTTATCATGCAGATGAAGCCTTCAGATAGCAGGCTTCAGAGAGAATGGATTGTAAATGTTTCTTATCAGACTTAAAGAGTCTGTTCTATCAGTCTTCAGGCTTGTGTTGATTTTAATGCTTGTCAGCTGTGCCTGAATAACAAAAGGGAAGATGGTATAATGAGACATGCCCAACTTCCCCTTTCCATCATGGCCTGAACAAGTTTTTCTGGTTACCTTTGGAATGCTCTTGGCTAAGAGGAGGGGTCTGATCCATTCAGATGGTTAGAGGCTTAAAATTTTATTTTTGGTTTTTACTACCAAGAGTTGCCTTATTCTTTCAGACAAGAAAACAAAGACCCAAGGATAAAATGAAACATGATAGTGGTCAAATAAATATCTGTATTGAAAAAAATGTAACTTATGACATCAGTAAGAAGATATTATAGAAGTATTATAGATATAAATATGAAAGATGAAATAATAAACTTGCAGATAATACGTAGGAGACTAGCTTCATGACCTTGGTGAGGTGAAAACATACTAAGCAGGGGAAAAAGAGCAATACATAGGAAAAGAGAAATAATTTTGACCATATTAAATTAAGAGCTTCTATTCATCAAAAGACACCAAAAAGAGTATGGAAAAGGAAGCCACAAACTGGGATAATTTCTTCTTGTTAAGCCATATAACCAGCAATGATAACAATTTCTAAAACACAAAGCAAACTCCTATGAGTCAATAATAAAAGAGAGGAAAAGAAAAATGAGCAGGAGACCTAAACTAACATGTCAAATGAAGAAGATGATCAGCTCAAAAATGAACTTCCTAGCACAAACCCAAACTCATTAGTCATTAGGAAATGCAGATTAAAATTGTATGGGATACAGATACAGCCAAAACAATGGTTAAATCTAAAGATGGAAAATATAAGTGTTGACAAGGACTTGGAACAGTGCGAGTTTTATTATAATCTTTAAGGAAGTGTGGCATGGTGTAGCCACTTTGAAAAGTCTTTGGAATTATCTGCTGTCATGAACGATGTGCTTCATTTTCTGGGCCATGGACCCCAACACAACGTTGGATAGAAGAGATAATTTTAGGTATCATTTTTGGTTTCCTAATTTTAGGAAAATTTTTATACCTTTAAGGATGATGTGTGCTGTAGAATTTTTGTGAATACATTTTTTATGTTAAAAATATTTTGTTTTTTTAATTTTTAATTCACCACAAGTTTTTATCCTTAACACATGTATTAGTCTATTCTCACGCTGCTAATAAAAACATACCTGAGACTGTGTAATTTATAAAGAAAAAAGGTTTAACTGACTCACAGTTCCACATGGCTGGGGAGGCCTCACAACCATGGCAGAAGGCAAATGAGGAGCAAAGTCATGTCTTACATGGTAACAGGTAAGAGAAAGCATGTGCAGGGCAACTTCCCTTTATAAAACCATCATATGTCGTGAGACTTATTCGCTATCATGAGAATAGCATGGGAAAGACCTGCCCCCATGATTCAATTACCTTCCACCAGGTCCCTCCCATGACACATGGGAATTATGGGAGCTACAATTCAAGGTGAGATTTGGGTGGGGACACAGCCAAACCATATCAATACACAGTGTATATTGATTTTTATCAAATGCCTTTTATTCCTTTTTTGAGATCATATTTTTTCTCCTTTTTCTCTTAATGTTTGAATCAGATTGATTGATTTTTGAATGTCAATTCCAAACTTCAATTCCTAGAATGACTTCAATTCGGTTATGACATTTTGTTATTTGTGTATATTTGCCATGGTAATATTTTCTTTCATGTTTTTTATATGTTTCTTGCATTGTCTTTGTCAAGAGTATTCTTGTCCTCAAAATACAAGTTGGTTTTATTTCAATTAATACAAAAATTTGCATTTTTATACAAAAGTTTAAATAGCTAAGAGTTCCATGGTTTTATCATTTGGAATTGTTTTTAATGTCTTTTTTAAAAAGTACTCAAAAATAATGATACCTGAGTTGATACTAAAAAATACATAGATGTGTTATAAGCACAGATATGTGAAAGGTAAAAGATAATGGGACATGAATAATGCTGGGGTGAGGTGTTAATATTTCCACCAAAAGGGATAAGAGCTCCATGGGATACTACTTTTCACTATTTATTGAAATAAGACTAAGTCTAACATGATCTTATAATATCTGGTAGTTTCCAAAAAGCAAATTTTTTTTTTACTATTTCTGAAATAGTTTTGAAATAATACAGGACCTGCATTTTCAAGTTTGACAATTTTACGTTAAAAACAGGTAAATAGTTAATTGAGCCAATTCCACCCCCACTCTGAATCTTAGATTCAGCCATCTGAAAAGAGTAAAATGCTCTCTACTGTGTCAGAGTCTGTGTGTCCAGGGAAGGTATAGAAATAGGACAGAATAGGATGCTAACTCAAATTAAACCCATAGAATTAATGCTTTTGAGTTGCATTGATTAACAGGTAAATTCCCAATCAATACTACCATTCATGTGTGGTTTTTTTCTTATTCAAGGTGAGTGAAGTGTTTATGAGAATCTAACCATGTTGCTGGGTCTCCCTCCATTTTTTGATGTTGGACTGCTGCTGACATCTATTAAGCCCCAACCTTTCTTCTTCTCCTTGTGCCCCACATCTGGGCAAGATAAGATGCCTGGGCGCTCCTTCCTTTGGCACCAGTGCAAGATTAAAACCATGCAAGTGCCTGTCTGCTTGAGAGAACTTTCATCCCAGCCCCAGCCCTGGCCACAGCCCTACACAGCAGGAGCCATGTAGGACCTGCTTGAGAAACCTGCTCTGCTCTCCCCAGAGATCTCGATTTTGACTTTTTCATACTCTCTTGGTGTATGTGTGTGTGTGTGTGTATTCAATTACCTTCCACCAGGTCCCTCCTATGACACATGGGAATTATGGGAGCTACAATTCAAGGTGAGATTTGGGTGGGGACACAGCCAAACCATATCAATACACAATGTATATTGATTTTTATCAAATGCCTTTTATTCCTTTTTTGAGATCATATGTGTGTGTAGTACCAACAGTCTTGACATCCAAACCAAATTTTGGATGGAGTCCATCTGCCTCTGAAAGTGGCCATAACACTGACAAAATAGAAAACCTGTTATTTAAATTCTTGGTTATAATTTGAAATGTTTAATAGAAACTGACATCACAGAATGGTACTGCAATTTAAAAATGTGACTGAATACAATTGTATTATAAACAGTGTCTAAATGCTTAGTCCAGTATTGTTGTTATAATTGTAAGCTCAGGTGCACTAGGCTGGTAACAGTGTTACTGGTAGAAGGTGTCCAGGTTCTTGGCATCTCGAACAAAGAATTGGAAAAAATGCACAAACAAAGCAAGGACAGCAAATACAGGGATTTATTGAGAATGAAAGTACACTCCACAATGTGGGGGTGGGCCTGAGCATAGAGGCTCACGGGCCCGCTTACAGAATTTTCTGGGGTTTCAATACTCTAGAGGTTTCCCATTGGTTACTTGGTGTACATTCTACGTACATGAAGAGAATGAAGTGAAGTCACAGAGTCGTTTACTTGGAATGCACCCTATTGTAAATGGAGAGGACATTACTTGGTTTGTGTGATCTAGGTAAATGGAGAGGATGAATGTGAAGTTACAAAGTGTAAATGGAGAGGACGTTACTTGGTGTGTGTGGTCTACTTCAATGGAGAGGATGAAGTGAAGTTACAAAGCTATTCACGTTCCTGTCATGGCTGAGGGGCTTTCACTTGATTTAGTTCTAGGAAGTCAGCGTGCATCGGCCTTATGTTCTCTACCTCCAAGCCCTATTCTCCTGCCTCAGTAGCACTGCAACCTAGAGAGCATTTGTCTGTTTGACTGTTAAGGCTTCCATGTTCGAGATGTGTGGTGAGTCGACCAGAAACATTGTTGTAATTTCAGTTTGATAAAGTTGAAGAAGTACATATGCTTGCAGATGAAGGTAAATTTTTAGGGGTTCAATCTGTAATTGAATATTAAACAAATAACACAAAATTGACTAGATTCATATGTAAAGTAAAATATGCCCTAAAAAATAAGAAATGCTGTTTTTAAAACTGTAGGCTAGCTAATAAACTGGATATTATTTTAAACTCAAATACCTATAAACAGTCTCATCTATAAACATCCTCCCCACCCTAACTGAAACCCAACTGACATAAGGAAGAGCCTAGAGAGGGAGGAGAGGAGGAAGAAGCTTGAGAGAGAAGAAGCTGTAGGGAAGACAAGCTTGAGAGAAGAGAAGTTTGAGAAAGAAGAAGCTGAGGGAGGAGAAACTTGAGAGTGGGCGGAAGATCACTGAGATGGTGGAGAGTCACAGGTGTGTGAGTAAGGAGAAGATAGGGAGACAGTGGGCAAAGGAGACTTGTGAATCAAGGAGGTTGCAAACATGATAAAAAAGACCTGTGGAGCATCTTCATGAGCAACAGAAACAGCAGTCGTGCTGTCCATGTATGTCTAGAAAGAGAGGGAGTTGAACCATCCTCAAGGTTTCCAGTAGCCTTAGGCAGTATACAAGAGCATTTGAGAATATTCTTGTCTTGAAAGAGACAAGCAAGTTACTGATACTGCTCGAACTAAGGAGCTCTGACATTGGAAGAGATGGCAAGACCCCTGGGAAGACCTGATGATAGGGACAAAGAAGGCACCAAAAACACCAAAAGAGACTCCCAACCAATGCCAGCACAGATGAGTTACACCTCAGCCGGTGATAGTAGAAGACAGAGGGTGCCCACAAAAATATCTCCAATGCCTTAATACTCCACCAGCAGCCCGATGACACCTTTCAGAGAAGAAAAGGCAATTCTAAAGTGTTGAAGAAATCCCTGTTGTATCTGAGATTAGCCTGAATTGGTAAGATCAGGTAATTGGCCACTAGGTTGTTTGGGACTCTAAATAGGTTAGTCGTATAAACAACAGAAAGTTTATTTGACCTTTATGCCCATCTGAAAAGCCAAAGCCCACATATAATTCTTGGCAATGAGTTATGACTTAATAAAAGTTATTTCCATTATACTGATCATAAAAGTCTTTTTCCAGTGTGAAGTACTAAGTACCATAAAGTATTAAGCAGCTTTGTCATCAACAGCAGCATTCTGAATTTCCAGGCTCTTGATAAGTTGTGGTTACACACCTTGAAACAATCACATCTGGAACCTGTCCTAGGAGTTAGGGCAGTTGGACTTATCTCCAATAATAATCCTTCCTGAATTAATTCAACATCCACAATGTTTGTCATCAATTAATAAAAGGAAACATAGAATTAAACAAATCCCACATGGCAATTATGAGAAAGGCCATAAAAGGGAAACATATTATTTTCTAAGAAACAAAGAAATACAGAACGCCTCTTATGTTATAAGCACAGATATGTGAAAGATAAAAGATAATGGGACATGAATAGTGCTGGGGTGAGGTGTTAACATTTCTACCAAAGGGATAAGAGCTCCATGGGGGTACTACTTTTCACTATTTATTGAAATAAGACAGTCTAAGATGATCTTATAATATATGGTAGTTTCCAAAAAGCAATTTTTTTTTTTTACTATTTCTGAAATAGCTTTGAAATAATATAGGACGAGACTGAATGGCCACTGGCTGGTTGGGAAGGAATTCCTCTCTCCTGCAATGTTCTCAGATACAGATGCTTTTACATTTCTTTATCCACAGCCTGGCCACAGTGGATAAAGAAATGCAAAAGCATCTGTATCTGAGCACATCGCAGGAGAGAGGAATTCCTTCCCAACCAGCTAGTGGCCCTACAGTCTTGTCCCTTACGTCCCCAGGAGAGCTCATCTGGTGAACTCGGCTTATGCACGTTTCAAGCTTCCCCAAGAAAGGGAAAGGTCAAGAATATTCTTGAGGCAAAAGATCCTGATTAGGAGCAAGTATTTCAGAAAAAGCTGTGAGGTCTGAAATACACTGACAGAAAGTATAAGAAGTTTGTGTCCTGTTTCTATCACTGACAAGCTATGTAAGTTTGTACAATTCTCTTAGGTCATTCAAACCTCAGTTTCCCCATCTGTAAAACGGAAAAAAATGATAATGGTCCCTTCCTGGCAGACATGGCTTATTGGCTCATTCTCTGATGAAGCACTTCCTACCATCGTCATTTTGTCACTGTCCACTCTCCAGAAAATAAAAGCAGATATTCACTTCACAGCTGAGAGTGGCCAAGAAATATGGAGGAAAAGTGCATGGGTGCTTCTGATAGGCTTTAAACTGAGCCTTTTCTCCCTTTTACCCATCTTGTGCCCAGTAATTATTTCAAAATCCAAAGCAATCACATTGCAACCGTGAGTGAGGCATCAGTGTGAGCACAATTGGCCAATGTGATAAGAACGGTTTAGAAAGTCCAGCTTCTGAATGGCACTGCTGAGCAGCTCCAGCAACAGCAGGCACTGCAATTCTTCAGATTTCCTGTTGTAGATTAAAAATGAATCCATATTTGTTTAAGTCACTATAAAGTAAATTTTTGATTACTTGCAGCTAAAAGCATTCCTAACCACCAAGCCATGTTAAAATTGTTTTTAATTAATAAGCATTTTAGAAATATTATTTATTCTTTTTATACTTAAAAATACATACCACATGATAGCATGTACATTTTATTTAATTTTTACTGAATGAAATTAAATGGTATTTATTCACTCATCAGATGAATCACATATATTAGAAATAAAGGAGAATCATGTAAAAATTGCATTGCTAAAAAGAATAAAAAGATGAATTTCTCCCAAAGTTTTTGAACCACAGGCAGTAGTACATCAGCAAAATGATTATTTTATTTAAAATGTATAATTTATTATTTATTATTAAGTAAATTATTTATTTTTATTTAAAATTTTTAAAAAATTAGTCTTGTTGGAGCCATGGAGTAGAAAAAATGATATTTTGTACTGTCACTATATCTTTTCTCAGGGAACTTGCCCTGAAAAAACAAAGGCCCACCTTAGGAGAAGAACACGGGCCAGAGGCACCCTGTTTCTGAGCTACCCTCAACCAGCCACCTCTGGAAGCACTGGCAACTCATCCCCAGGGGCTGTTGCCCAGCGACTGGGTTTGGCACACCAAGTGAAATCCACTAGAGGCTGGCTCAGCTGACCTATCCACTCCATTTTCTGTCATTTCCCTCAGCACTACCTGTACTCCAGCCACAGAGAACTATGCAATCATCTCTGAACAGATAGTTCAGCTGTCTGCTTATTTTCCCTACAGATCACCCTTCCTCTGTGTCTGCCAGGAATACCCCTCTTACCCAGCAAGGTCCTACTAGAACATTTACTCCTCACTGACGCTCTTACCCGCAAAATATATGGACCCACCTATGGTTTCCTCATGATGGTCAGCACATATCTCTGTTGTAGGCACTGGCCAAAATGTTACTTTTTATCTGATTGTGTAGCTTTTTCCCCATTTAAATGTGAATCCAGACCCTATCCCCTTGGTATCCTGAAAATCAGGTGGATCATGATCCTCTAGTTGACTGGGATTGGCTTTCAAGTGGATAGATTTAGGTTTATCCAAGTGCTAATGGATGGCAGGTTGCAAAGAGGTCATAGGGGGAGCATTTGGAAGATTGGGGCAGAGGTTTCAAACACTTTTTTTAACAATTATTTTGACCTGTCTGCACGCTGGTTTTATTTACCACTTATGTATACTTTACTTCACTGAAGAAAGAACTTTTGTCTGTTCACTATGGATGGAGAGCAAAGATTTGATTCAGCTGAACAACAGCCCCCAGTATTTGCACATATACAATCTCCTGAGAAGAGATTCAGGAACTGTCTTCCATATTTAGAAACAGCTCAAAGGTTCAATTGATCTTGGATGCCCAGTGGGCTCCAGGATAAATAAAAACCTTTGATTCCCCTAGGGCTTTCTGGTTTCCATTTTTATCCCTTAGTGTTTGACTAAACACCACATGAAAATGAAAAACGTATACCAACTTTCCTAATTGAAGCTGTGTCTGATTATGGAAACACTTAAAACATAAAAATGGGTTGCACATGGCTTGCTCCTGGCGCTGAGCTCAGGAACTACTTCCTGCTGTCAATCCAATGAATTCAACACTGCACTATGGATGGTAACAATATTCATCTTCAACTGACAATACTTCACAATATTCAGTTTAAAATCATTTTCCTGGCTAGGTCACTTTAACTTTGTAAGTAAACACTGCCAAAATTCCCACGGTCTAGCTAAGACTTTGAGTTTATATATAAACTGAATTTGTACAAGAGGCTGAAGGATATGGTCACAGACTCTTTTTTCTACTAGCAGAAGGAAGTCGGCTTCAGCCTGAAGCTTTCTCAATAATAAGAACTATAGGACTATCATGTCCTATTTTCTACAATTTTCAAGTACGGAAACCTAAAGTCTAAAAACAAAACAAAACACAAGGATAACAAGGCTGGGTTAGGCCATACCCGTACTTTGTACTCATATCCAGACCATACTTCATTTGGAGGGTCATGGGAAGCTGTTTTTGTTCATATTGATGTTCTACTGGAAATTAAAATTTTATGAAAATTACAGTTCAAGGTACTGACTCTGATAAGGCTAATGAAGATAATCAGAAAAAATCAACTTTAGAACCCTAAACGGCTTAGTTAATCTTAAATTACCCATAAGAGGTAAGGGAAGGTATTTCAGCCACAATGGGGATCTGTGGAATCATGCTTTCTATGCATGTCAGTCGGCTAATACTATTGAAAGTCTTCCCAGTACCGGGGAAACACTTCTCCTGCCTTTGCATCCTGGGCCAGCATCTCCCTGGTCTCAGCCTGTGAAGAGCAGAGGCAAAATGTGTGCTCCATAATACAGAGAATAAGCCCTTTAGAAGCGCCCAAATGGGTTTCAAATCTCAGCTCTGCTGCTTACTAGAATTTTGCATCTGGAATTTGCATCTTCTTTTTTTAAAATATATGAAAATACATTTTATTATTATTTCAGTGTATAATATATTAGTGAATACACCAGATTGCATTTTCTCAAATGGCCCATAAATTACACGATAACATTTCTCTTTGATTCCTGAGATCTTCAATATTGTTTGTCTTTCAGACCATCTACATTCTTACCATGACTGTGAGACTGATACTGCCCACAACGATACCAGTACTGAGTGATGAAGAACATTTTGCTAAGTTGTTCTATCGTGGTCCTTGCTTAAGGTACTGACCTTTTTTTTGCTAATCTATTTTTCAGCACTTGAGCATGTGTTTCTTCATTGTCACGTACAGGATCTGGTTGAGGGAGAGGTTTTATGTGTTCATCTGCAATGTCCACAGAAGCGGTGCAGCTTACTATTGTGCTGCCATCAGATGTCAAGAAAAGCTCTACTTTGTGGCCTAACAGTGAAGAATACATAGATTTATAAAAAACAATACAGAGCTCCATCATAATTTATCTATCCCTTTTGATTGGCATCCAAGTTTTCTCCCCTTTTCCACTATTGCAATCTCCTTTTGGTTTGGAAATACACGTTTCAAGATAGTTTGCTATCACTTGTTTTACTGCTGCTGATCACTGACACTTACACAGAAGTTAATGTGTGTCAGATAATGTTCTATGTGCTGATGTATATCACCCCTAAATCTTCACAAAACCCCATCAAGTACATATTTTTATTACCGCTGTTTCATGCCTGTGAAAACAGGTGCAGAGAGGTCCAATGGTGTGAGCAAGGTCACAAAACAGGTTACGGTGGAGTGGAGCAAAAGCTGCAGCTTCTGCTCCAGAGCCAGGCTCTTAACAAGGGCACCTGCTGTCCCTGCCTCGAGCAGGTTCCAAGGTTTTGCTGTTGTTGGGGTGTTTTGTTTGTTGTGCTGTTCCAGCATCGTAATAATATCAGACACAAGAGCTGCCTGGCTGTCTTCCCGGGATTAGAGGTAAACACTGAGGCTACATTTTGTGAGTGAAGATAACTAGTCCTTTGGGGAGAAGGCAAGCCAATGGCCCTGGCCTCATTTGTTAGCCATCTAATTTTCGAGCATGAGTTTGCTTGAGTAGGACCACCTGGTATTAGAACATTTCCTGTGTTCATAGAAATTTAAAATTGTGTATTTATAAAACATTTATCAAACTGAGTGACATCATTCAACAATTTGGTACTTTCAGGGGATTGTTGGACGGATGTTGTGGGAACTGAACTTGAAGAAGGAAGAGCCCATCATTTGGACACATCTTAGGGCTTCCCAGCTGCACCAGGTTATGGACAAGGGACCTGGAACCCCAACCCTTCCAGTCACTAACCACATGGCCTGAGATGTCATTTCATGCAGCTGGGCTCTTTGTGCTCATCAGCAAGTGATGTAAATAAAGCATGTGAGGTTAGCACACCGTATATTCTCAAATCCTGGAGCTACTGGTCCTCTTGTGACTATTATTATTATTAATATTATAATGAACTTTTGAAAAAATTATTTAGTGTGTTGCAAAGTTTCTCTACACCTGGAAGTAAATGCAGTCAAATTTGGGTGAGGCAGGAATTTCCAATCTTGAGTCTGCCCCTTTGCAGACCCTTCCTAGAGGCTGAGACCCTGTAGCTGTGGCCTGAGCCCACCGGATATGCAGCCAAGTATGGGCATCTGTCAACTACAGCAATGCATAAGGGATGCCACCCAAATAGCTGCACTTTTCTGAAAATCATCACTTCTGTTCTGCAAAGAGCTACACATTCCTCTCCCTTTTTCCCTACTTTTGAGTTCTTTATTTTCCAATATGCATGACGCCAAGGGGCCATGAGGATTTGTGAGCATGCAACACCCCTGGGAGAAGGTAGTCTTTTGTGCCACAATCAGTCGAAGGACCAGACCTGGAACCACTGATTCCCAAGCTGTTGACTGCAGAGTCACCACCAGCTCCTTGAGAATCTGATGGTTGATTCAGCTCCTCTTGGATGGGTTGATGGAAAATGCATTTATATTTGGCAAATGCCAATATAATTGGGCTTTTTAAAATTCCAGAAGATTTTAATTGCAGAAAATTACTTAAGTCCTTTATTGTCTTTTTTTTTTTTTTTGCTCTTAAAGCTGAGCAATGAAGTGAGACCAAACTAGAGTTTAATAAAAACTAATTCCCACTAGAATTTAGAGCACATCTTTAAACCTTAAATCTTCTGTTCATGACACTTTGCCCAGTTAACTGCTAGAGCCTGCAGGCTGTTTTTAATTTACAGTTTTTACTCCCATCAGAAGATGGAAGGAAAAATAACCGAAAATAATGTCTGCAGAATAGTCCCAGTGCCTAGCTGTCCTGCACAACTGCCAGGCTCTGTTCAACTTGTGAGAGAGGAGAAATTTCTCTCTGAAAGAAGGGCATTAGGATCCCCAAGGGCTTCTGTGCAAAAAAGGAGAACTGCCTGGTTAGGCCCCTCCTATATGCCCAGGATGCATAAACATGATCTCCCTCAGACCTCAGGGCAGCATCTTGATACATGAGCAAGCATCCCTGTGCTGCTGAGAAGACATTTAGAGAGGTGCGGCCATCACACACTAATAAAGTGCAAATCCAATGCATTGTGCAATTCAAATTGGATCTGCCTCTTTCCCGAATCAATTATTTTGCCTTGAGGGGTTGCCAGATAAAATACTGAATGCTGAGTTCTGTTTAAGTTTCAGGTAACCAAGAGTCATGTTTCCATGTAAGTATGTCCTAGATATTGCATGGAACTTAGATATACTGAAAAATTATTGATTTTTTTAATCTGAAATTTTGATTGAAGTGGGCTTTCTATAATTTTATTGTTAAATCTGGAACACTAGGCGATTTCTCTTCATAAGAACCAAATGTTGACTATCTGTTCTTTTATTGGTGTAGATCCCAATTCAATTTTCATTAAAATTAATGTATATTTGCAAAAAATTAGCCAGGAGTGGTGGTGGGCACCTGTGGTCCCAGCTGCTCGGGAGGCTGAAGCAGAAGAATGGTGTGAACCGGGGAGGCGGAGCTTGCATGAGCCGAGATGGCGCCACTGCACTCCAGCCCGGGTGACAGAGTGAGACTCTGTCTCAAAAAAAAAAAAAATTAATGTATATTCGGCAGGATGTTTGGGACATTGATGCCTAGCCTTTTATTTCAGGCCTATGAGAAGAAAGGGGAAAAGGATGGAAGAGGATAAAGAAGGAGGGAGAGCAGGAGGGAAGAGTGGGAATGAAGGAAGAAGGAAAGAAAAACTTAAAGTAGAAGAAAAAGGAAGAAATCAATATTTTTCTGAACATTTTCTATTTTTATTTTTTATTTTTTTTTTATTTTTTATTTTTTATTTTTGGAGATGGAGTTTCACTCTTGTTGCCCAGGTTGGAGTGCAATGGCACGATCTTAGCTCACTGCAACCTCCCCTCCTGGGTTCAAGCAGTTCTCCTACCTTGGCCTCCCGAGTAGCTGAGATTACAGGCACCTGCCACCATGCCTAGCTAATTTTGACATTTTTAGTAGAGACAGGGTTTCACCATGTTGGCCAGGCTGGTCTCAAACTCCTGACCTCAGGTGATCCACCTGCCTCAACCTCCCAAAGTCCTGGGATTGCAGGGCATGAGCCATGGCACCTGGCCCATTTTCTATTTTTAAAAAAGAGCACCCCTGCTATATCAGAATCACAGGCAATTATAAAGTAATTTAACTTAAAACTGAAATGAATAATAATTCCCTACAGGGGACATCTCTTTAGGAAGACAACTTGTAAAATATTACATTATTACACTTCAATTTGCATATGCGTACATTTCATTAACTAAATTATAACTATTAATGTCAGGTTTATCAACCAATTATCAGCCAATTATTATCACCAAGGAGATCTAGAATAATTAGATGACAGTTAACCAACTAAATCATATGCAAATAAATTCAGTTTTTATCCACTGAAAATCAGATCCTGCAAGACTCAAAACATCTGGATATCTGTAAGCATCTAAAACTTTGGCATTTTTATAGGCAAAATAATTCACTGGTTTATTTTTATTTGTAATATTTACTCAGAGGTTTTATCTCTATACACACACAGTCACATTTCTCATTAATTTAAAAAAGTCATCTGACCTCTTCAGACCCTGGCTGTTGCCCACACTTGGGCCACAGGACCCTGACAGATCTTCTCACTCTGAGGTTGAATGACTCTCAGAATCAGCCATTAAATGGGTAACTGCAAGTAAGAGATTTAAACATTGCCTTTCTCTGTTGAAAGGTAGGCACAGAATACAAATATACACTTCCTTCTTTCTTATTTAGGCTTCCAGGAATATAATACACGGTATTTTATACCCCACATATGTGACGACTAATCCCAAGTAAGCACAAGGTGAGAGAGTTTTAACTGACATGGGGCTAGGAGACAGTAAGATCACACTACAGTCTTCTCTGGTTACTTAAAGCTTCTTGCATTTATTTGAAAATACTAAGATATATTCCAATGGGAACAGGGACTTGGGAAAATAAAATTGCACATCAGGGCTGACTTCACAAAGAATTAACGATAAAATCTCTTCCTTGTCATCTTTTAATTCTTGATCTGTGTGCCTCTGTGCTTAAGAGGAATGGCTGTATGACAGGGGTGGATAGCATTCCTACATCCCAGGGACATTTGCTGGCTCTGGGGCCCTCACGTCTGGAAAGACATAGTTCCTACCTTCAATCAGTAGGGTACACATGAGCATACCCAAGCACTGCACAACACAGCTGGTTTTATAATAGCCATCATGGAGAGGCAGAAGACAGAGAGGGAAAATCCTTCCAAGGACCTGGTTAGGATCCTCAGAGGAGGAGGTAAAAGAGCTTGGGAACATCAGAGATGGTGGCAAAGCAAAACTGGCGCGAGGGTAGTGTTGCTTCAGGGACCATGCACCATGGGGCTCTGCTGCTGTGTCTAGGGCGAGCGTGTTTGAAAATGCAGTGTATTGATAGAAAATGTGATGCATGGTGAAGCCAACAGATCAGGAAATGATTGCCTTTGAAAAGACAGCTTGAGAGGAGTGGGGATCCTCAGACCACGGGGAGCCACACAAGGCAGTACCAGGGTCGCCAGGAGGCAGAGGGAGAATAGGAAATGTGGGCAAGAGCCTTTACCATCGCTTCTGCAGAAATGCATGGGAGAGGCCAGGTAGGCAGGTTCAGGATCGGCTGGTCCGAATAATTTCCGGGCTCTGGGGCAGAAGGGCTGTCTCTAATTGTCTGATATCTGGCCCTGAGGGTGATAGCCCCATAAGTGGAGGGGCTTGGAGCTGTGGGATGCAGAGACACACACAGAGGGAAGACTATGAGAAAAGACACAGGGAGAAGATGGCCATCCACAAGCCAAGGAGAGAGGCCTCAGAAGACGCCAACCCTGACAACACCTTGCTCTCAGACTCTGGGCCTCCAGGACAGTGAAGTAATCAGTTCCTATGGCTTATGCCACCCAGTTTGTGGTTCCTTGTCACAGCAGCCCTAGCAAACGGACACAGACACATATCCAACATATGAGGCACTGTTTTACATCCACTACTCACTTATACTGTATCTCACCCAAAGCTGTGAAGTGTGGTCGGTGGGCACAGCATAGTAGGAGACAAATTTGTCCTATGAGAAAAAAATGTTTCTAAATGTATAGTGAGCAAACAGGTTAGATTTCATAGCCTTCAATTAAAGCATTATGATGTTAATCAAGCATGACATTGTTTATATAGCCACACAAAATAAAAATTCAAGTGATTTTTCATCTATTGACAAGTATTCATCTAAATATTTGAGACTGCATAAATAGGTTTTACCTAAGTAGAATATTCCATATTCTGTTATCATCTTAGGCTTACTTATTATTGAGAAAGGAGTATACAGGGGATAAAGAGCTGGGGGAGTAAACCAGTTAAGTTCCTCATTACTTCATAAAACGTACAGATGTGAAAACTGATGTACATCCAAGAGACCCGACCCTTGCTTTACCCTCGGGAACCCACCAGTGGTACAATATCAGGATTACAAGTTTGTATTTTTGCACTATTATGAAGCTATTCTTTAACACACGCCCTTCTTATGAAAAAGCAAAATAAAAATCTGAAGGTGTACCAGTATAATTCCTCTACTTACTGACTTTTACTCTAATATTTTTCATTTGGAGTGAGAAGAATAACTTTTATAAGATGTTCTATGGCAAAAGTTCTTCCCTGGAATCTTTTCAGAATGAAGCATTGAGAAAGAATCCGCCGGGGGACCTCCTCTTTCAGCTTTGGAGCCCCCCTCCCTCTGTCTCTGTAAGGGGGAGCTTCTTCCTTCTGTCTTCTCCCTTCACTTCTTGCCTATTAAACTCTCCACTCCTTAAAACCAAAAAAAAAACAAAAACAAAAAAAAGAGAATCTGCCAAACAAACAGCTGTAAGGTTTACACAGTAGAGCAATATGGATATTTTTGGAAGGAAACACATGGGAACCATCTCTGAAGCACTTCTGGAGAGTGATTCACATTAAAACAATAAAATATTAACCATAAAAACTTAAGAAGGTACAAATCATGGGGATAAAAAATCTCTTTAGTTCGGCCACACACTTTAAGAGAGGGTGTTAGGTAGATTATGAGGCACTGGATTCCCATTCCATAAAATCTAGGACACAGTTTGGGACAAAAAAGAGTGTATTTGACTGATGGAGGTTAGAGGGTTGGCTTGCAAGCAAGCAGATCCTAACGCTCAGAGCACAGCAGCCGTCACGTGTGCTTTATCCAGATCCATCAGTTCTACAGAAAGAGGTTGGTGATGGAGACCAAAACCAAAAATCTTACAAAGCCAAGCTACAACAAAGATCATGAAAATAATGATGAGAGCTACCACTAGGCATCAGTCACAACTCCCCTCTCCCCTAACAAAGCATAGCTGGCTTTTGAAAAGTAACTTTGATCTGTATCTTATTCCAACTAAGATTTTTTTTTTTCTTTTTGAAACAGAGTCTTGCTCTGTCGCCCAGGCTAGAAAGCAGTGGCAGGATCATAGCTCACTGCAGCCTGAAACTCCTGGCCTCAAGCAATCTTACCACTCCAGCCTCTGAAGTAGCTGAGATTATAGGCATATGCTGCCACCACACTTAGCTAATTTTTTTTTTTTTTTTTTTGAGACAGAGTTTCACTTTTGTTGCCCAGGCTGGAGTGCAATGGCTCGATCTTGGCTCACTGCAACCTCCACCTCCTCTGTTCAAGCGATTCTCCTGCCTCAGCCTCCTGAGTAGTTGGGATTACAAGCATGGACCACCATGCCCGGTTAATTTTTTTGTATTTTTAGTAGAGATGGGATTTCTCCATGTTGGTCAGGCTGGTCTCAAACTCCCGACCTCAGGTGATCCGCCCGCCTCGGCCTCCCAAAGTGATGGGATTACAGGCGTGAGCCATCGTGCCTGGTCAATTTTTATTTTTATTTTTTGTACGGTCAGGGTTTTGCTGTGTTGCTCAGGCTGGTCTCGAACTCCTGACTTCAAGAGCTCCTCTTGCGTTGGCTTCCCAAAGCACTGGGATTACAGACGTGAGCCATCACACCCAACCAGATGTTTTCTAAAGATCACAAATTGTTGTATTTGCTCATCTGCTGGGAAGATTGGGCTCAAACTATGGCATGATAATGGTTAACAATATAACTCCCCTATGTAACAATTCCCTTACGACTTCCTCTTGACCTTGGGCAAGGCTCAAAGCCCTTAGCCTAGCTGTTAAGGCACTTTGAAACCTGACCTTGAAGGCCCAGGGTACAGGAGAGAGAAGGAACTTGAAGAGGACACACTTGGGCTGAAGTGTACATTTTGAATCATAGAATTTGTGTTCTAAATCCCGGAAATCAGAACCAGAAATCTTAGGCAGTATCTCAGCTGGATCAATAAAAGAATAGATGAATGAGCATATTACTTCGAGCTATGGAGTTGCTGAAAAACTAAACCAGATTGTTAAGAGAATAAAACTTGCTTCCCTCTGCAGAGTGAAACTGTAAGTGGAAAGAATGAGGCAGAAATTTTGCTTTTTATTACTAGCTCTTCATTACTATCTTTAAAATCATAAATATGTATTACCTTGACAAATTTCTAAAATACGGCACAAAAAGCAAACCGAAAACAGGTTTTTGAGCATTTTATGATATGTGAGACTCTCAAGTCTTTGTGCCATGTACAACCTTAAATGATTATAAAAGAACCTCAAAAAGCAGCGCAGTGGCAGATGCCACTTCTCAGATTAGGACACTCAACAACTGGCATAAAGTCCCAGAGTTCAGCAACTGTCCAAGCCCAAAGCTGAGGCAGCTGCACTAGGCCACACTGAATCCTCATATGTGGCCTTTTCCTGGGGCTCTCACACTCATCCTGCCTCCATCACACCCAGCCCCAGACATTCACTGCCACAAGGATGAATCACTCACTACTGTGTCCTGGGCTGGTAGGACATGGACACTGGGAAACAGGGATGGAAGGAATGCCACCCCCATGTCAGGGGGCCTTAGTTCTCCCTGCACGCCTGGTTCCAGGGCACTCCCAACCCAGACTCCACCCTGACTTTAGGTGATGTTGCTGTGAATAACTCCATAGCGGGTTTGAACCATTTTCAGATGACTTCCAGCAAGTGTGGCTCCTATAAGATAAAGCTCACACTTCCACATGAGTACCATCTGCAGCCCCCAAACACGTATACCCTCATGTGGGAGCAACTCAGGAAAGTGCTGGAGGGATGCAGCAAATCAGCATTTATTTATTTAATTTTAATTTTTGAGTTAGAGTTTTGCTCTGTCACCCAGGCTGGAGTGTAGTGGCACAATCTCGGCTCACTGCAACCTCTGCCTCCTGGGTTCAAGCGATTCTCCTGCCTCAGACTCCTGAGTAGCTGGGATTACAGGTGCCCGCCACCACACCCAGCTAATTTCGGTATTTTTAGTAGAGATGGGTTTTCACCATGTTGGCCAGGCTGGTCTCAAACTCCTGACCTCAGGTGATCTGCCCACCTCTGCCTCCCAAAGTGCTGGGATTACAGTCGTGAGCCACCAGGTCCAGCCATTTATTAAATAACCTCTATGTGCCAGGCACTGAACCCAATTTTCACCTGCATTAATTCATTTCATCTCACAACAACTTTATTCACTAGATTCTTATTACTATTCATAGTTTTACTGGTAAGAAAAGAGAGCCTCAGAGAAACTAAGGAAAATGGCCAGAGTCCCAGAGCCACTTCGTTGGAGGATTGGACTTTAATTCTAGATTATTCTAATCTCAAGTTTATTCTACCACGTCAGATGACATCTAAAAAGAGACACTTTGGAAAGATAGGCTCTTCTATACGGCTCTGGAGAACTGACTGTTCTTTTTTCATTTGAAAACTTGTCTTCCCAAGAGTCGGAGGTTCCCCGTGAATACAGAGAATTCCCTTAGATGTGTGACCCTTGGTGATCTCTAGCTAAGCACCAATGCACGGGAAAGTGAACTGCCCGAACTCTGATGCCTTGTGTTGGGTTTATGCAACAGAATGCTTTTGTTCTGTAATCTGCACTCCCAGGAGAAAAAAAAGACCGAACAAAATCCTGTCTTCTTTAACCTGCAAAAGCCATGACTTGCAGCAGTATTCCATCTACAATATGAGACCTTGAAATGCAGGCTTTAGAAAAATGTGTTTTCCATTCTTCTTCATAGCCAAGTCATTACAACATGTCCATTCTCTAAATGAGATGAAACAGGAAACTTCCTGTTGGAAAATTTTCTGCATCCTTGACCCTGCCCCTGGATTTCAGAGTTTACAGAAGGCTAAAGCTGGCGGAAGCCATGAAGATGTCCCATTGCCCCTCTCACTTCTCACTGGCCTTCATCATTTATGTCTTCATTTGACAGTTTGTGTTGTCTCTGCATTTGTTCATATCCCAGGATATACCGCTACACACCTCCAGGTATGTCATCCTAGGAAACAAACGGGCTCAAGCCATTTCCAAACCTTCAACACCCCAAGGCAATTAAAACAAGACAAAACGAAGTCCCTGGTAACTTCTGCATGGTACAGGGCCGGTTGTTTCCAGCATGGTTCACAAGCCCTTAACATATGACCACAGTATTGCTACCTTACACACCTCCGCTTTCCCCCTGGCCTCAAAATTTTTGGTTCTAACTTCTTGCCCTTCACCAAGTACTGTGTCATTTTTCACGTGCCTAAGTCCTTACATGCGCTCTTTTCTCTGCCTAGATTGTCCTTCCCCTTATATTGTGCTCAAGAAATAACAAAATGCATGAATGAGTCAGAGCACAGGGTATCTAAGAGCTTCCCCAATAGTTGGCTCCAGGCTTCCTACGTGTGCCCATTGGAGGCCAACCATACATCATTCTGCAGAACTCACACACTGTGTGCTACTTCCCCTGACTTGCTGTGTCATCCATCCCTGCTGGACCCTGAAGTACAGAAGGGCCACCAATCTTTAATCAAACACATATATTGAAATGTGCTCCTGTTTATTAATGGGAGAGCTTTGATTCTGATGATGGGCTCTGACTTGTATCAGCTGGACGAGCTTAGGCTAGTTGCCTAACAATATCTGCCTTCATGTTCTCCTCTATGAACCAGGAACAATAACACACCTGGCAAAGGGCTGTAGTGAGGATTGATATTTGTAAATACTTAGCACTGTCTGTCATAAAGAAACTCTTCCATGAGTGAGTGATCAAAGGGTATGGCCCTGGGGTTAGAGCACAATTGAACTAACTGGAGGCCCTACTGCTTAGTGACTGGATAAACTTGTCAAAGTAAACCATTTAAGCCTCAGTTTCCCCACCTATTAAATAGGAGTGAGGTGGTTGCATTTTCCTTGGGATTATGCATATTAGACACATAGCACTTACAAGGTACTTTGAGTGGAAGCTAACATGCAACAATAATAGCAGCTGCAGCATGCACCATGCTTATCAGCATAGGAGCTGCTCCATGCAGTCTCACTTCAGTCTGTGCTCAGGAATGCTTACTCTTAGTAGCACCAATTCTGCTGTCATCACCGTCATTGTCATCATTATTCCTTTCCTAATCATCGTCACTGTCATCAGCAGCAGCATCATTATCACCATTGCCATCATCATCTTCATCATCATCGTTGTCATCGTCAACATCAACATCCTCATCATCACACATTCACCCTGACTCCTCAGTCTTCTCATCTTCGTTCCTCACCTCATTACTACACTTTGGTAATGTGTGGTAGGCCCCAGAGAATCCAGCCTTGGCCCCTCCAGCCGTGATAAGCACAGTTTGAAGGATCCTGGCCACTCTGCACCACAATTTATGACACCATTCCTTCGAATCAGGATAGGTGGTTGGGCTCGTCACATCTAGCTCACTCTCCTCTAATTCTCCCACAAAATACTAGTCTTATGAGATGCTTTAAAAATTAAAAAATAATACCCTTTGGACATAGTATGAACTATATATTATATCTTTTCCTTGAGATATGTTAATTCCTTTTAGCATATTAAAGGACTGGAGAAATCCCACAGTAAAGAAATATATTTAACTAGTTAATCTATTTAACTGAAATAAAACAAATAACCTTTATCATCAATGATTTCCTAAACCGACTATGAACCTTTCCCCGTGTTTGTGTACATGTGTGTAAAATGCAACAAGAAGGGCTGTGTGCATGCTCTCCCCTTTCTATGTAGACATATGTGTGTGTGTGCATATGTGTGGGGTGCTTCATGCCTTTTTTCTCAGTGTGTGCATGCATGTAATTATGTACTAAGACATACCGAGTGTGTGCCACGTGCTTTCTTTCTGTACATGTGCATGCACATATATACATGTGCTAAGCCATGGGAAGGAGGTATTACACGCCTTTTTCGTTCTGTGCAGTCATGTGGGTGTGTGTAAGTGCATGTGTGCTATACTCCATGCCGTTTGCTTTATAACATTTCTTCCACCCTCACCTCTTTGCCTTCTGTGCTTAGAGTTTCTTTCTTGTTTCAAATGGTTGAATATCAATGTTTCTGTTCTTTCTGACTCTTTCCATCTTTTTCTTCTATTCTATTAGCAAAAGAAAAGTTACCACAAGGGATGGGAACAAGAAAGATAACATTGTGTGCCAAATTGTTTTCCTGCTCTGTTTTTACTCTGTGGGCTCATCTGGATGTCAGTTTTGTTGTTGAACTCATAGGGTTAATTACCTTCCCCTGTCCCTCTTATCTCTTTAAAATCTCCTGAAATCTTTCCATTCTTGGAAAATGCACACACACACATACACGCACTCACTCTTACTCACATACATGTCCTTAGATGTCATGTCCATGGGCCCCAGGTTAAGTGAGATGCTTCACAAGTACAGCGGCTGCCACATTGGTCCCTGAATCCTCAATGCCAGCACAGGGCCAGGCAGACAGTAGGTGAATGTGGAATGAATATGTGAATTAATCAGGAGGGCCAGTGGGGGTCCATTTATCTTTAAGATCATGTGTTGTGTTACTTGGTCAGCAACATGTTTAGGTGGAAAAAGTTAATCTGCTTCAGGTTTCTTGAAACATCCAGGAATACTTTCCCTCAGTCTCTTTTAAAAATGTTTGTTATTATTCACATAAATTCATCCTGCTTCTTTTAATAATTCAGGCTTCTACCACCTAAGGTCAGTATGTACAGTTGCATAGGCTGTGCACTGTTTTTGTTCAGGGTGTCTGGCCAAAGAGAGGAGAGAGAGCTAAAATTCAAGCTTCTTTGCTGGGGCAGGGTAGGTCTGCCTTGAGGAGGAAGCACCTGCCTGCAGTGCTGTGCTTCCCCAGGGGGATGCTTGCTGTAATCTGCACAAAGAAGCAGGGTGGATTCGCCGTGAGCCGCCTACAGGTTACGTAAATCCCTGGGCTACCGTTCTCCAAACTCTAGGTCAAGTTGAGGAAGATGGACACATGCCACCTTTTCATTATGACTTGCTGCGTAGATCAGAATGGGAAAATATTCTGGAAAGAACATCAGCAACAGACACTAGATTTAAGTAGACTATTTCAATCTCCTTTGGTGCTTTCCTACCTGAGCACAGAGTGGGTGAGATGTGGATTTGTGTTGAGGACAGAGAGCCTGAGAGCAATGAAAAGGAAATCAGGAACAGAGGCTGAGCCAGCCACGGGTGGCCCCAGGGGACATCATCATGAACATGAAGCTTTCTGGAAGGCTAGAAGTCGCACTCAGTGGGTGTTTGGGTCTTTATTGCACATCTGTAGTTCCAACCCTTTTCCCTCCCAGGAACTCATGGTGTCCTGTAGTTCTTGTTTACTTTTTCCAAGTGAGAAATCATTCTGCCTTTCTGCCTGCTAACTCCTTTCCTGATGTGAAAGCTCTTTCCCCAATATCAGATTCTCGCTGGCCTTTGTCTTAAAGCAGCCACCATGGAGAACAGGTAGGAACTCGGCTCCCATTCACATGGCCCCTAGCCTCAAAGAAGTAAATTATATCTGTGGGAATCCCTGCTCAGGAGCCCTGCTGACCACACATCTCGCATCTCAGGGCTCTGTTGTGGAAAGGTCCCTCGCAGGCATGACCCACCAAGAATGTTGCCTTTGTTAATTACACCAGTTAACATTGTTAAATGTTTACCATGCCCCAGGCATTGAAATGGGCATTTTACCTTCATTCTTTCATTTGTCACCACAACCCTCTCAGAAGTTACTTAGCATCAGTCTACCTCAGCTTTCTCTTTTATAAAAGAAGAAAACAACACCTGTATTGTGTGGCAAGATTGCTATGATAATAAGAACACCACATTAAAAATACCCAGCAGGGCACCTGGGGTGCACCCAGCTCTCAGCGAGCTGTAGGAACTTCTTTGCTATGACTGGGGCCCTCTGTAAAGTCACATAAGAACAAAATGCAGACATCTGGGCTATATTCAAACAACAGCAAAAGATTGTTCAACATTGGAAGAGCTGGGTTTAGGTGATTTTTTGATATTTTCCTCTTGTGGCCAAATCATATTTGCTGGGTTAATTTTCAAAACTTAGAACAAATTGTCATCTAGTAACTTTTAATGATCTCAGCTTGAGTGTGTTTCCTGCTGTTAGTTCACTCGGAATGTTCTGGGCTGTGTATCAAATGCATTCTCATTGTGTGGTTGCCAGAGAGGAAAAATGCCCATTGTCTTGGCTGTGGCTATTTTTATTTAAATTGCAGTCCAACTTTTAGAAAGTCTTAAGGGTCATAAATGTGAAATGGTGGACAAAGTGCTTTTGAAAAAAAATACATTGTTTTTATTTAAAACAAAAAGTAATGCATGCTCATAAGAGCAAATTTAGGAGACACATAGTATAAAAGAAAAAAAATTAGTTCCATATAGGCCTTTTTCTAAACACAACCACTATTAACTTTTTGGTGAGTTTTTTAATGCAGTTATATAGACAGATATATAGATAGACAACCGATATACAAACAGATTAGATATATATATATATGTGCATGGGTATATGCATATAAATGACAATATATCTCTGGGTAGCTAGTTAGTTATAAATTACTTGCTATGTATAACTGGGGATATGCATATACGTGTGTTGTCAGTGTCATCTGTGTATATATGCTCCTTACAGAAGGTAGTTAGGCATGAGAAGGGCAGGAGAGGCCCCCCACCACCACCCACCAGGAATGTCAGGTGATAGGCGGTTGTTAAACTATCTTTCTAAAATCATAATTGGCCGAAGCCAATGCTCTGTGGTTGTTAAAACTGTTTCTCTAAAATAACAATTGGTCGAAGCCAATGCCAGGGAAAGGCAGTCTCCTAATAGATAGAAAACACCTGAAACAGGTGATCAGCAGCTTCCCGATAAGATCTCAGGAGTTGGGCGAGCGTGCTCAAGCATGTGCATTAAGAGGCAGAATGGCAGACTTTAACTGGAATATGACCTTCCTCTGGGAACTCTCGACTGGTGAGGGAAAGACGCCTCAAGTGAGCATGTGCATAACTTCAGTAAACACACTGCACATGCGCCCCCTCCCAAGTGCTGGCAGGCCACTGCACGTGCAGACAGTCCACGCAGGGGAAGAATCAGGGGAGAAGTAATGCAACCCCAGAAGAATTGCTAACATATAAGACCCCAAGTCAAAGGTCAAACCATGCTTTTAAATCTCTCAAGTCATCCACTTGGCCCTCTTCCAAGGGTACTTCCTTCCGTTCCAGCTCTAAAACTTTTTAGTAAACTTTCACTCTTGCTCTAAAACTTGCCTGGGTCTCTAACTCTGCCTTATGCCCCTTAAGTTGAATTCTTTTTTCTGAGGAGGCAAGAATTGAGATTGCTGCAGACTCATACAGATTCGCAACTGCTAACATGCACACACACACAAATATAAATAATATAAATGACTGGATGTTTGGAGATAGAGACGTAGAGCTAGATGTGTTGAATTACCTTATGAACCTATGTTTTTAAACCTAAAGTTCTAGCAAAAGCATTATTTTATATATTATAATGCTTTTCACGATTGTCATTTCAACATCTGCAATAATAAATGCAATACCCAAAATAATAATATTTCATAGTTTGGAAAAATCACAATTCCAATGACACCTTTTTCTACAATTGGAACTTGAAGTATTTCTCTGGCCAATATTTCTTTAAAGTGCAGAAATAACATCTCTTGCACAAAGGTTTTTAAACTATTTCTTCTTTAGTACCTAAGTTGCTGGATGAAAGAACATGGTCACTTTGGGGGATCCTAGATACATCATAATAAACACTGATTAATCATTGATTTCATTGTTTCTAATATTGTTTGACTATTCTCGTCAGTACACTGACACTTCATTTCCTGCATTCTCCCAAATGCAATTCCTATAATTTTCAAATGAGAATGCTTTTGTGTTTACAATATTAATATATATTCAGTAGGGTTTAAATGCATTAAAGTAGAGTCAAGCAGTCGAGAAAGATTTACTGATAATCTATGTCATGCAAGCCACTTTGCACCTTAAGAAAGAATTCAAGGAAGTGTTGCAGACATACCTCTTCCACTCAAGATTACGGTCTTGTGAGAAGTTTGCCACATAGCCATACCCCATGACGGAAGGGCATTCACAGTACTTACCAGCATCACAGTCTCTTCAAGTTTTCAGAGTCAGAGAATATTCCCTGAAAGACCCCAAACCCAAATGGTGGGTTTTCAAAGACTGGAGAATGTGACAAGAAAAATTGCCTACAGAAGTTCATGGAGAGCGACCATGAACTTCATGAGGAGTGACCTCATGAGCTGAGGATTGACAGGAAGGTTTAAACAGCAATGGATGAGGACAGGTGGCCGAGGGATCAGCACACCCAGGAAGGGTGTAGACTCTATCATTTGGGCTGCAGGGAAGGATGGGGAGCAGCATCTTGAGGGGCTTCCTGAGGGTACTGGGAGCCTGAGAACTTCTGTGGGGCTGCGATGTCAGGGGACTGTCAGAGCAGGAGCTACAGAACAGGCTTTAGCTCAAAGAGCACCACTGGTCATAGTCCACAAGTCCCCAGTTAGGAACATGGAGGGAGGAACCAGTGTGGTAAGTGACACATCCAGGACAGGAGGAAAGAGAAGGCTAGAGAGGCAAAGTGTAGAGCACAAGGGAGTTGAGCTTCCCTGGGCCGCAGCATGAGGAGGCATCCAGCATGGGTCCCAACATGGACATGCCAGAACACAGTCCACCGGCAGATGATCTGGTGAGTTTCCTGAAGTGATTTTCCCTCACAGACTTAACTACAGGGTATTTAAGAACTCACAGAAACTCTTGGCCTCCTGCTTCCCTGTTACCAGCTGAGCCCTGAATCACTGGGCTCATGAACCTGCTTGGTCAGAATCACATCTGGGTGATGCAGAACAGCAGTCCCCAACCCGGAAAATTAGACCTTAGCCTCTTTAGTCACTGCATTGCAAGCCATCCTACAGGCCACCCCTGTTTGTCCAGAACGAGCAGGTCCCTGGTGTGGAGGACTTGGAGGACTGACCTGTCCTGAGCACCATTACCAGGATGAGGTGGCTGTATCCCCAGTTTCTCATCTAGGTAAATGGACTATGGGACTTACTATACAGGGTTATGGTGAGCATTAAAGCATAGAAGGTTTGAAGTGGCTCAGAGTGGAGCTAAATGGAAGTCCATTCCTTTCTTTATCTTTCACAGAAATCTGTTGTTATTTTAGTCATAGCAGCAAGGAATAAAAGCATCTTTTTTCCCACCCTGTCTGGGAAGAAAAATTAAATGTGGCTGAAGAAAAGAGGCCAAGAGTGGATAACTAAAATGATTGTCACAGTTACTTCTTTCCTGAGCAATTCTCCTAGTTCTGCTTAGGAAGTTAATTGTATCCCAACCACCTAAAAACCTCTTGCATATTCAAGTTGCAACAAGGTTGCCGTAAGCAACATGTTTTTTGAGACTGTCAAGTGTGTGACCCATTGGCCACTAGGATTCTCAAAGAGCTTGTTGGAGACACCAGAGGGATGGCAGGAGAGGCTGCTGCAATCTACATCTGAGTGCATAGAAGAGTTCAGTAGAGTCACTCCCTAACTGCAACAAGGAAACCAGAGAGCATGCATTATTCGTGGGAGAATATGAATACAGTTGTAGGAGGAGTCACAGCAATGTAAAATATTTGTGAATGATAAAGGAGTCACTTTGAGTTATTCCCAGGACAAAGCAAGTTTTCTTCCTATCCAAATCCTGTCAGATGTGCCCCATCCTCTGGTGTTGGTGCCCGCCTGGACCTAAGGTGCATTACGCTGATGCCACCTGTGCACTTTCTTCTTCACTGGACCTACGGTAGAAAGGCTGTGCTTGTCCACTGATGTGCCCTCCAGGCCACGCACCCTGCACTCTTCCAAAGACGGGTCCCATGAATCTTTGTTGAGAGAAGGAGCAAACAGATAGCCTGGCAATACATCCTGAGTCTCTTTCTCTGCTGCACAGAAAAGTTGGGGAGTCAAGGAGGAAAGGGGAAATGTACTAGGCATTTCATAGACTATATGAGAGAGGAGGTGGGTGTCTGCAAGACACAAGGATGTAGCCTTTAGCAAATCAGAGAAGGAAGAGCTAAAGATATAGACTCTTCTATGAGCAATGATGGAGAAGTTGAGATTATGCTATAGGTAAGAAATTAATCTGTCCAGTGGGAACCACTATACTCCTGCCTGGAATGCTCCATACAAGCAGACCTGGTGAGATACAAAAGAAAAAAATAATAACATAGAGAATCTGCAAAGAAACACCAAAGCAAATATATCTGTTCCTCTTGTAGGTACACATGTATGCACACACACATACTCACGAACATACATGCATACAAACACACATAAAAACATACCCACAAACATGCACAAAAATATACAGAAATTCAAAAACACAGGCATACACGTACACACTCACATATGCACATATCTGTGAACACACACATGTGCATGCATACATACATATACAAATATATGGTTTATCCTACAGTTTGCCTTCTGTTCTTTTCAGCTAATTTTTTTATTGTTGTTTAAGAAAAACAAAGGGTAAACAACAAATACTAATTTAATTTAAAACACTTAGAAGTGTTACGAAGAAAAAGGACCCTAGTTTGGGGCACCAAGTGAAAGGTAGGAAAAGTTCACTGTTTCCCTGAGTGGGAAGACCAGGTGAGCTGCCTCACTCACAGTCAGGCCTGCGGATGTCCTCTTCTATTAAAAGGGTCAAGATAATTGTTGTTACTTAGCAATAAGCCAGGGATGATCATGTTAATGGATTTGCACTTTCAAGTCTTTCACTGTGGTCTGTGGTTTAACTCCTAGGCCAGGACCAGCGGTGGCTGTGACTTAGCAAGGGCCTCTGATGCAGAAGACAGCACCAGCTGGCTCCATTAGACCTTAGACCACCTGCCAGCCATGTTTCTGTGCAGCAAACGTTCAGTTGTTATGTGGAATTAGTTTTGCTTTTTTCACTTGGCTGTTGTGAACATCAAGTAAGATCATCCACAAAATGGTCCAATAAAACATAATGATGCTGAACAATCATTTTGAACAATGTATGCATATTTGATGCATCAACATGCATTGGCCAGGTATGTGTAAAGTGCTGTGTCACTTATTTTTAAATGAATAATCACAAAAAGAAAACTTCTGGAATAAAATATCATGATACAAAATAAATATCTAGAACAAAATATGGGATAGGATAAAGTCTGCTTTATCATCAAATGTCCAATTTCTTGGGAAAATGAGAGACAGAAAGCCTGCAGCCAGGGCAGGATGTCACATGTATAATTAGTGCTCGGCCCAAGTTCCAGAGCCTCTGCCCTTTGACACAGGGGCCAGTGCTCTCTTGAGCGACTCTCCAGCTTTCTGCTTCCCAGAAACAAGCCTGGGAGGCAGAAGCAGATACAGAAGGTCACAGAAGAACATATGAGAAAGTAAACACAGCGAGATTCTCTGCCAGGCCCTGGCAGCCGGACTTGCAGCCTTCTTGGCTCCAAGGGATTAATTCTGAAGGGCAGGGGGAAGGAGGAGAGTAGACTGCATAAAATCACATTATCTCTGTCCCTTTTCCTTCAATTCCTGTGAGGAATAAACCTCAATTATATATTACAAGTAGGGCATCGTATTATCTAAGTGGATGCAATGGTGCAGCATTTACTAGGGCTTCTGTTTATCCATGCACCATGACACAGGGCCCTGACATGCCAGAGCCCTCGAAGTGCTTGCTGATTGTTAGTAGGATAGAAAATGGAATCCAGGCAGACACAGCTTCCGAGCACAGCTCTGACTTCTGCACCCAAGTTTGGATTCTGAATTCCACCTCGTACTTGGTGCCTGAGATTACTTCACCTTCTCAAGCCTGTTTCCTCACTTGCAAAATGAGGATGGTAACCGCAGTGCCCTGGGGATTAAATAAGATAATACAGGAAAACGCCTTAACCCCTGTAGCACTCAGTGTATGAGCTGTCACTCTTGTGACTCCATGCTGTCTGCCTAGGAAAAATGCAGAGCTGGCTGGAAAAAACCGATTATCAGAGAAACCAAATGCAATTTCTAAACACAGGGGCCAGTGCAAGGTTGAGTTTAGGAGTCATAGAAACAGAGGGTTAGGCTGAGGAAGTCATGGACAGAGAGAGAGAATTTTGCATGCATTTGAGAACATGTAAGTTTCTGGGGCTGGAGGAAAATCTTCCCTACCTTTAACCCATTTTCAATCGTACTTGATCATTGAAAGTAATCCCATTACAGAAAATGGTTGTTAAGATGCTTATAATCAATCAGAAAGAAAACTATATACCAAAACTTGGGGTAGATGACACCCTACCCTGCTAACTGGTAAAGTTTCAGCTAATTTGGAGTGAGGAGGAAGAAAGTTGCAATGAAAAAAACAGGGAACCCAAACGCTCTTGCTGATGAAAGAGCCTCAGTCATTGACTGCAGCACATCAAAGAGCACAAGATGGGTTCTGCATCTTTGTCTCCCATTTTGTTTTGTGCTGATTTCTCACAGGGCCTGTGTCTGACAAGTTTTGCACACTTAGCTGACAAAGGGGAAGGCCAGTCAGAGCCAAGAATTTTGGGCAAAAATAGGCATAATAATGAGACGGACACCTCAAGTCCTTCCAGGTATCAAGAAAAGTATCAAATCCATTTTAAAATATATTTTCAGACAGATAAAATATTAAGTCCAGATGTGGAAGCTGCAGTAGAGGGTGCAAGGAGCTGAGGCAGGGCAGGCTGATTACAGGTCAGGAAAACATGATTTCTTGCTTCATTTTTATGCCCTTGTTTAAAAAAAAAAGAAAAAGAAAGCAGGGTCTCAAGTCTTGTGAAATCAGCCATCCTACTCAAGGAATACACAGCTACTGGGTGCTTTTGTCATTTGCAGAATGGTACACATATGCGCTGATAATATTTTATTTTTAAATATCAATAAACTAAATGTTGAATATTCTTACAATAATTCTGTAAGAAAGGTGATTCTCAAGACGTGAAATAAATGAGGAGCTGAGGCTCACAGGTTGTGTGACCTTTCTGGAGTCTCAAAAAGAGCCAGGATCTGGCAGGGAAGGAGGCTCTGCAGCCAGAATCCTTGAGAAGCACAAAGTATGAACTTGGCGTCAGAGGCTGAGTGGGAACATGGGCAGGAGCTGTGGGCTGGGCAGAAGAGGCAGTCACACTGGAAAGGCTGGATCGCGAGAGCACACTGCCACACGGGGACCAGGCAGGAGAAGCCGCTGCACCTAGCTCACCTGCTTCACGCTCAGCACCAGGACTTGTCCCGGAGGGGCCAACCCCCAGCAGAAACACTCAAGTGCCCTTTACGAAAAACATCAGAAGGGGCTAATCTCCCATGAAGGCAATTTGCAAACAAACAAACAAGCAAACAAACAAAAACAAGGTTTCAAAATATACTCAGAGACCATCGGTAAGATTATCTCTGCTGCACAGCTAAATAATTTCTTACTGTTTCTCCTGTCTCAGCCTGTGTGCCTCCAGAGATAGCTATAGAGTCTTGGCTGAGCTAAGACTGAACTGATAGGAGCTTGCTGCCAAAAAATTAATAAAATACTTACACTCATCCCACAGGGGAACCTCAACAAGGAAGGTTAGGCAAATGATTTATTTGGCTTTCTGGACTGAGCCCCAGGAAAGCACATAAAAATGCTAATTAGAAGCTGAGAGAACATAATGAGTTCTTGAGAAACCAGGAAGGTGTCACCCTGCTTAGGCAAGACTTAGCTCTAAACCATCAGAGGCAAAAAATGACCCTTCTTTTTAAAAAGGACCCAGAGAAAGGGATTCCGCAGGTACCTCTTGGTGCCTCGTCATTGTATACATTTATAGTACAAGCGTTATTTTGTTACATGCAAATACTGTGTAGTGGTCAAGTCGTGGCTTTTAGGGCATCCATCATCTGAACAACATACATTGTACCCACTGAGTCATTTCTCAACACCCATTCCCCACCCCCTCAATACCTGGCTTTTTTCGGCTAACTTAGCCCATCTGTCTCTCTCTCTTTTTTTTTTTTTTTTGTTGTTGTTGTCGTTGTCGTTGCTGTTGTTGAGACGGAGTCTCGCCCTGTCGCCCAGGCTGGAGTGCAATGGCGGGATCTCGGCTCACCACGACCTCTGCCTCCCAGGTTCAAGGGATTTTCCTGCCTCAGCTTCCCGAGTAGCTGGGATTACAGTCACGCATCTCCACGCCCAGCTAATTTTTGTATCATTAGTAGAGACGGGGTTTCACCATGTTGGCCAGGCTGGTCTCAAACTCCTGACCTCATGATCCACCCGTCTCAGCCTCCCAAAGTGCTGGGACTACAGGCGTGAGTCACACTGCCCGGCCCATCTCTTTCTTGTATGTAACCTTTCTCTTGTATGTAACCCTCATATCAGTTTCTTTCTGTTTCTTTTACAGACTGAAACACCCCACAGGATGAAGGATGGAAGAGCAGGATAAAGTTGTGTTAGAAAACAAGACACAGCCAGGACAGAGCAGTGATAACAGCTCCCCCATGTCTGGTCAAAGCTAGGAGTAACATGAAACCATTCAGAAGCCCATGTGAGGGCAAGGTCACCAAATTCATGTGACCACTGGAAGAAAGGTGAGGTCTTCTTCATCACAGGGAATGCATGGGCTGGGCTATTGGAGGCTGAAGGATGTCTCAAGTGCCCAGCTGACACACTTGCTGGAGCTGTGGGAGCCCAAAGACGTGGCAATTGTGCGTCTGTAGAAATCTGCTCAAACTCCCTTTGGCTTCCTGGCCAGGGTCCCTGCCCTCCCTCCTGTCCCAGACATCCAGTGCCTTCCTTGATCCTCCCCACAGCTTCATTCCCTGACTCTCAGAGTTGCTCCCACCAGGATACTGTACTCATGCCTGACTCTCAAACTTATTTCTACCTTTGGGCTCTTCAGTGTTACAGATTCTTTCAGACACATTTTAGCGCTAACTGCCTATATTTGACACAATGTATGAAAAAGAAGTTTTATTAACTGCAGTAGGGTACAATAAAAGCTACATAGGTTTGAATCCTGGCTCTGACACCATCTGTGCTAGTCAGAACCTCTGAGCATCTGGCCCTCCCTGTGCTCTTCTGTAAAATGTAATAAGCTGACCTCACAGAGTTGGGTTCAGAAAAAGACATACGATTATACCTGAAAAGACTCTGGCATGTAGTAAGCACAGAAACTTGACTAATTCCTTTATTCTTCTTCTTATTCACCTTTCCACGGAAGTGACTTTTCAAGTAGGAGCGAGCCAATTCTCCTGGCAGGGACACCCTGAACACCACAAACCTCCTCTACTATGCCGATCTGAACCTGTTAATTCTAACATCCAGATTTCCCAGGGCCCAGAAAGCCACGCTGATGGTTCCAGAAGTTCTTCTATTAGGCTCTCGGTCACAGGCAAAAACAACAGCACCATCTTAAGTCATGCAAAGATGAGCAGAATGAGTACTTACGCAACCGCAAGAGCAGGACCCCAAAAGGATGGTCCTGAAGTTTACATGAGATCAGTTCGGGAGTCTGGGGTTTGGAGTGGGGCTCGTATCACAGTGAGCGGTGGAGCAAGGAAAGGGCTTGGCAAAGAACTGTGTTTACGAGGACTGGGGTCAGCGAGCTGGCAGAGAACTTCCAAGGGAGTCAGGCTCCACAATTCCTGAGGATTGTCACCCAACCCAGTGCCAGCCTAACACAAACCTCAAGAGCTTGCAACCCCGGACATTCGTTTGCTTCTTCTACTAGTGTTCCAAAGGGTTGTATGACAGCAATAGGAATTACGTTCATACAAAAGATAACACAGCTTCTTAAAGTATCTAAAACCAAGTAGTAGCAGATTAAAATTCTGAGGAAATCTTGAAAAAATATGGGTTATCTTACTACTTAATGCTTAGTCAATATCAGGTACCTTCTAAGTATTTTAACTATATTAACTCATTTAATCTTCAAAATAATTCTGCAGGTAGGCACCACTATACGGAACCATATTACAGAAGAGGAAAGCTTGATAGGTTAAGGAGTTTTCCCAAGGTCACAAAGCCAGTAGTAAGTCATAGAATCTAGAACGAAACCCAAACAGCCTGGCTTCTAAGTCCTTGCTCTTAATCATCTCTTACAGAATATTCACATTTTTAAAAGTGTGCCTTATATTTGGCAATAAAAAAAATTGCAGGTTTCTGCAAAGTTACTTTAGCTTTAAAACATTTCAATGACAATTCAACTTTGAGTTCACCTAATGTTAACTGTTAAAAAAATTATTCAAGGGTCAAACACACTTTAATTCAAATTACTATTATATAATTGTAGATTTAAATGAAGTTATAAGGAACAATACAGAGAGATCCCTAGTAGCTTTTACTTAGTTTCTCCCATACATAACATTTGCAAAACTATAACACAATATCACAGCCAGAATACTGACATTGACATAATCCACCAACCAGAGTTCCCCAGTTTTATTTGCACTCATTTGTGTGTGTATGTGTTTAGTTCTACGCAATTCTATCACATGTATAAATTTGTGTGACTGCCACCACAGTCCAGATACAGAACAGCTCCATCACCACAAAGATCCCGCATTTTGCCATTTAACACCCACACTCATAATCCCTCTTCCCTCATTCAACCCTCATTCATGGCAACAACTAATATATTCTCCATTTCTAAAACTGCCATTTTGAAAACATTATATAAATGCAATGCCCAAAGTGTGTAATCTTTTGAGATTGGCTCTTTTCGCTCAGTATAATTTCCTGGAGATTTACAGAAGTTGTATTCACTCCTCCTATTGCTGAGTGGCATTCTATGATGTGGATGTACTAGAGTTTGTTCAATTATTCACCCACTGAAGGACATCTAGATTGTATCCAGTTCTGGACTATTAAGAATAAAGATGCTATAAAGATTTGTACACAAGTTTTTATGTGAACATAAGTTTTTCTCACTCTGGAATAAATGCCCAAGGGTAAAATAGCTGGGTTATATGATAGTCAAATGTTCACTTTTATAAGCAAGTATCAAACTGTTTTCTAGGGTTTCTACACCAGTATACATTACCACTACTAATAAATGAATGATCCAGTCTCTCTACATCCTCATCAGCATTTGGTGCTATCACTATTTTTTATTTTAATAATTCTAATGGATGTGCAGTGATATCCCATTGTGGTTTTAATTTGCATTTTTAATAATTAATGATGTTGAACACTTTTCACTTGCTGTCTGTGTATCCTCTTTGGTGAAATATCTCTTTGTGTATTTTGCCCATTTTCTAATTGAATAGTTTGGGGTTTTTTACTGTTGAGTTTTGAGATTTTTAACATATTCTAGATACTAGTCCTACATTGAACACATGATTTGTGAATATTTTTCCCAGTCTGTATCTTGTATCTTTATCCTCTTTTTATCAGCTTCTGCAGAGCAAAAGTTTTAGGTTTTAATGAGGTCCAAAATATAAATTTTCACTTTCATGAATTGTACTTTTTGTGACAACTCTAAGAATTCTGCCTAGCTGTGAACCCTGAAGATTTGTTCCTATTTTTTCATAAAAAGTATCCTAATTTTATGTTTTAAAGCTAAGTACATGATCCAATTTGAGGGTTTTTAAAAATAAATTATGGGCTGGGCGCGGTGGCTCACGCTTGTAATTCCAGCACTGTGGAAGGCTGAGGCGGGCAGATCACGAAGTCAGGAGTTCAAGACCAGCCTGGCTAACATGGTGAAACCCCATCTCTACTAAAAATACAAAAATTAGCCGGGCGTGGTGGCACGTGCCTGTAATCCCAGCTACTTGGGAGGCTGAGGCAGGAGAATCACTTGAACCCAGGAGGCGGAGATTGCAGTGAGCCGAGACCGTGCCACTGCACTCCAGCCTGGCAACAGAGCGAGACTCTGTCTCAATAAATAAATAAATAAATAAATAAATAAATAAATAAATAAATAAAGACGTTTACATCAAGGTTCATTCTCTTTGCCAGTGAATGTTCAGTAGCTCAAGAACCACTTCTTGAAAAGTCCCTTCCTCATTGAGTTGGTTTTGCACCTTTGTCAAAAATCTGTTGAGCACATTTGTGTGGGTTTATTTTTGTATCCTTAATTCTGTCCAAGTAGACTGTGTGTCTGTTCCTCCACCACCATAAAACTATCTTGAAAAACCAACATCTCCTATGATGATTGCAGACTTTTCAGTTTTACCATCTAAGTCTGAGTCTTGGCTCTCTATGTGTCAGTGCCATGTGGTTAGGTGCATAAAGTTCATTACTGTAATATTGTAATATTTTCCTATGAAATTTCATTAACTATAAAATGTGCTTCTTTGATCCTATCAATACACTGGATATTAGTATTGCTACCCTAGGTTTCTTTTGTTTAATATTTGTCTGGATTGCCTGTTCCCATAAATTGACTTTTAATCACTTAGCGTTGTTCTAAGATTGATTTAAAATGTAGAATAAAAGGGAAGGTTATGGGAGGGTGGAACGTCTAATGTAAACCCAGCCCAGTGATTACATTAGCTGGGCGCTGATTAGGTTAGGATGTTGCCCAGGTATAAAGCCAGGATCTTCGGGACCTGGCTTCATTTGGAGTTCAGCTACCAAAAGGAAACCTTCCTCTGGGTCCTGGAGTATTTGGCCTGAAATTGGGAATTTGGGAATTGCTGCTCTAGAGCGCTCCCTGCGGAGTCGGCCGCCCGCCTCTCCCCCAGGTCTCTCCCGACGTCCCCACGCGGGGCGCAACCGCGAGAGAGGAACGCAGGTCGCCCCGCCAGCGCCCAGTGCAGCGCCAGTTTCCGGGCCGGGGCTGCTCTCGGAGCCATGAGCTGCGGCCGCCCCCCTCCCGACGTGGATGGCATGATCACCCTCAAGGTGGACAACCTGACCTACCGCACCTCTCCCGACTGCTTGAGGCGCGTGTTCGAGAAGTACGGGCGCGTGGGCGACGTGTACATCCCGCGGGAGCCCCACACCAAGGCGCCCCGGGGCTTCGCCTTCGTCCGGTTTCACTACCGGAGCGACGCGCAAGACGCCGAGGCCGCCATGGACTGGGCGGTGCTGGACGGACGCGAGCTGCGGGTGCAGATGGCGCGCTATGGCCGCCGGGACCTGCCTCGCAGCAGCCAGGAAGAGCCAAGCGGCAGGTCCTGGGGCGGCCGCTACGGACGGCGGAGCCGCAGCCCCAGGGAGCGACACCGCAGCCAATCCCGGGGTCCCAGCTACTCTAGGTCCCGCAGCAGATCTCACTATGGGGGGTCTCGCTATAGCCCGTCTCCCTACAGGAGATCTCGCTACAGCCGATCTCCCTACAGACGATCTCATTACAGGGGATCTCGCTACGGCCCATCTCCCTACAGTCGATCTTACAGCTGGCATCACTACAGCCGATCTCCCTACAGGGAATCTCACTACAGGGAATCTCGCTACAGGAGGTCTCCCTACATCCGGTCTTCCCGCAACAGGTCTCCCTACCGCCGCTCTCACTCGAAGTCTGGGTCTCGCTCTCGATCTCCATCAATCTCCAAATCCAGCTCTCCACGAAGATCCAAGTCCTCCTCCGTCTCCAGATCCTGCTCACGGTCCATGTCTAGATCTACGTCCGGGAGTCCTCCCCCCACATCCAAGAGGGAATCCAAGTCCAGGTCGCGATCCAAGAGTCCTCCCAAGTCTCCTGAAGGGGAAAAAGGACAAGTGCCCTCCTAGGAAAATGATCATCAGCTAACGCGTGATGGAGGACTTGGAAAAGGACTACATACTCAGTCCATGGAAGCAGAGTCACTGGAAGAAGCGACTGCCTAATGAAACGGTTGGGTGACATTTGTCTACCTTTTTTACCAGTTTGAAGCGTTGCATCAGATGGCAAGATTCATTTTATGTGCCATTTTGTTGTTTTCAAATTTTCTTGTAATTTAGTGAGGTGAACGACTTTAGATTGGATATGGATATTTGAGGGGAAAATTTATATTTGTCTTTTTTGTTTGTTTTTTATTTTTGAAATGTAGTCTAGCTCTGCTGCCCATGCTGGAGTGCAGCGGCGCCATCTGCATCTTTCACCTCCTGGGTTCAAGCAATTCTCAGGCCTCAGTCTCTGGAGTAGGTGGAATTACAGACGCCAGCCACCACGGAGGGCTAATTTTTGGATTTTTGGATTTTTGGTAGAGACGGGGTTTCGCCATGTTGGCCAGCCTACCCTCAAACTCCTGGGCTCAAGTGATCTGCTCACCTTGGCCTCCTAAAGTTCTGCGATTACAGGTGTGAGCCCCTTCGCCCAGCGTATATTTGATTCTATAGTGCTGATATTTTTGGTTTGAAATGAACAGGTTGGTAACCTAATTTGTGGCCTCCTGTCTCTTAAGAAATGTGTGCAGCCATTACACACAGCCCAACGCTGTCATGACATTGCCTCAAAACTGCCTTCATTCCTTAAAGTTAAAAACTTACAAAAGGTGGTATAAATGTATATGTGTAATATTATTACCTTTAAATCTAACTGGTAATATGACCCAAATTTGTATAAAGATTTTTCAGGTGAAAAGACCGGGTTTTGAGCAAACACAATTCTAATCTCTTCTGTGTTTTTGTGTACCAGGCCCGGCTGCATAGCAGTTGAGTGATGCTGGTTAGCTGTTAAGGTGGCCTGTTGCAGTGCAGAGTGCTGAGCTGTTTCCTGTTTTCTTCTGATTGCTCCTGAAAAAAGAAGCCCTGTCCTGAAGAACAAATGGCTTTTCAGTTTATTAAAATGCCTGTCAACTGCCCTTCCAGTCACCCAGGCCTGGAAGAGAAATAATAGAGCATGCAGTGAGCACATCTAGCTGATATGATAATCACACCTCTTCCCCCTCCCTATTCTGTTAAATGGCAAATCTGATCATGTCAACATACATGAACTTAAAATATGGGGAATGTTATTGAAGAAATGGTTTGTAAGTGTAGGTACTTATAACATGGTGTATGTTTTTGATTATGAATATTTCTTACTATAACCATGTTTCTATCATTGAATTAAAATGTTTTCTTGGTGTTACCTTTTCTCAAAATAAAACTAGAAATATTTTGTAGAAAAAAACTATCTTGACTACTGTAGTTATATAGTAAGCCTTAGTAATGTATAAATTTATTTTTTCCTCTTTACTCTTCCTTATCAAGAATGTTTTAGCTATTTTAGGACCTGTGCCTTTCCACATACATTTTAGAATAATCTTATCTATGTTTACAAAAAAACTTTGCTAGGATATTGGCAGGAACTGCATTCAACTTATAGATTAATTTGAAGTGAATTGACCTTTATAATAAGTTGAGGTTTTGATTCATGAACATGGTATGTCTATTTATTATAGTTAGGTCTTCTTTGATTTATTTCTCTCTTTCTTCTTCTTCTACTCCTCTCTCTTGCTGCCCCTCCTCCTCCTCCTCCTTCTCCTTCCCCTTCTCCTACTCCTTCATCTTCATCTTCTTCTTTTTACAAGACCAGGTCTCCTTCTGCCACCCAGGCTGGAGTGCAGTGGTGCAATCATGACTTACTGTGGCTGCCTCAAATCCCTGAGCTCAACGGATCCTCCTGCCTCAGCCTCCTGAGTAGCTGAGACTACAGGCACATGCCACTGTGCCCAGCTAACTTATTTATTTGCTTTTTTGATAGAGGCAGAGTCTTGCTATGTTGCCCAGGCTGGACTTCCTGGCTTCAAGTCATCCTCCCACCTCGGGCTTCCAAAGTGCTGAGATTACAGGTTGATTTCTTTCATCAACATTTTATAATTTTCACCACACAGATGCTATATATTACATATTTTGTCAAGTGTATAGCTAAGTATTTCATTCTATTTGGAGTGATTATAGATTATATTTTGTTTTAAATTTCCATTGCCAGTTATTGTCAGTAAAGTGTGATTTAATTTGTGTGTGTGTGTGGATCTTGCATCTCACAACCTTGTTGAACTCATTTATTACTTCTAAGAATTTTTTAGTAGACCCTTTGGGATTTTCTGTTGACAACCCTGTCATCTGTAAATAGAGTCACTTTTCTTATTTTCTTTCCAACACATATGCCTTTTTTTCTTATCCTTCTCTTATTGACGTATTACCTTATTACTAAAACTTCCAATACTTTATTTAGTAAGAGTTGTGAGAGCAGATATCTTTGTCTCATTCCAGATCTTAAAGGTAAATCATTGTTTTCATTAGCAAGTATGATGTTAGCTGTAGGTATTGTATAGATGCTCTTTTTCAAGTTGAGAGTTCCCTGTATTCCTAGCTTGCTGAGAGATTTTATCATGATGGATGTTGGACATTTTTAAGTGATTTTTCTGAATTATATGATTTTTTTATGTTGGACTTTCTTGCATACTTCAAATAAATTCCACTTGATCACAGTGCATAATTCTCTTTACACACTATTAAACTCAATTTGCTAATAGTTCATTGATAATTTTTGTGCCTAAGTTCATGAAAGATACTGTTGTGGAGTTTAGGTGTGTGTGTGTGTGTGTGCTGTCTTTGTCAGGTTTTCACTTCATAAAGTAACTTGTGAGTGTTTATGCCTCTTCTATTTTTGGAAAAGAATGTATTAAATCATTGGTTATTCTTCCTTAAATATTTCATAAAATTCTCCTGTACACATTTCTGAGCCAGGAAGTTTCTTCTTCGGGAGATTTGGGCAGGAGTCTGTGGGCAGGAGTGGGGAAATCTCCCCTGTCCCTTTTTATTTGCTTGATGTAGTCTACAGGGTTCCCATTTAGTCAGAGATAAGAGTGGGCTTCACTGGCCCCCCTCCACTGCTAGGCTGTGTTTTAAGAAACACCAGACCTGGATCCTCTTCTTCTGTTGGCTGAGGAGACATAAGATGCCCTTTCACTATGTCTTTAGTCAGGGCCCCAGACCAGTTTGCCTTCTTCTTACTACCTTTCAGAGCCCTCTTTTGGTTATCTTTGCTATGATTTTCAGTGTTTATCGTTGTACTTAGTTGGGGTGGAGGGAGCAGGGAGAAACAGGTCTAGCAACTTATCCATTGAAAGCCTCCAGAACACACTTTTGACTTTATAATGTTTTACCATGCAGGACAAAAACGAGAAACTTGGCTATAATTTAATGAAATAACCAATAACATGTTCAGACAGTGGGATCTATTTGCCCCATTTTCTTCAGCAATTATTTTCTGAGTACCCAATGTGTGCCAATAACAGGTCTAGGAATCTGTGTGTGCAGCTATGAACAAGACAGACAGTGTGCCCTTTGGAGCTAATACTTTAGTGGAGAAGCCAGCCAATAAGCAAGCACAAAATATATGTAAAAGATGAATTTTGGGTCATACTGAATGTCATTATGAAAAAAAAAAGCAATTTCAGAAGCTGGTATAAGGCAGGAGCAAGGGGTGAGCAACTGGGTACAAATTTTATATTCTGCCATTTCTCACTGATGAGGCCCATGGATACATCTCACTGTCTCACCATGCTTCAGAAAATGTGATATCCAGCTGGACGCAGTGGCTCACACTTGTAATCCCAGCACTTTGGGAGGCCGAGGCGGGCGGATCACGAGGTCAGGAGATCGAGACCACGGTGAAACCCCGTCTCTACTAAAAATATAAAAAATTAGCCGGGCGTGGCGGCGGGCGCCTGTAGTCCCAGCTATTCGGAAAGGCTGAGGCAGGAGAATGGCGTGAACCTGGGAGGCGGAGCTTGCAGTGAGCTGAGGTCGCGCCACTGCACTCCAGCCTGGGCGACACAGCGAGACTCCGTCTCAAAAAAAAAAAACAAAAAAAAAAAAAAAGAAGAAGAAGAAAATGTGATATCCTTGGGAACTGTACTATGACAGAAATATAAATCCTAAGGTAGCAAAGGTTTGGGTGTCTAATCCTGGCCTTGCCATTTAACAACTATGGAGCTTAGGCAAATCACTTCCTTAACTACAGTTTTCTCTGTAATATGAGTATAATCATGAAACATGATGTGAATATTTCCGTAAGTTCTAAAGAATGAGATACAGATTATATTCATTTGAAGCAAGCTGGTAAAAGATCATATTGGTATTGGATAGAAAATGTTTAATTCAACACTCTGTGATTTGTTCTAATTAAATATCATCCAATATTTCAGCCATTATACTCCACAGGAATCCTATACATTACCCTAAGGCCAAAGGGTACAGTTATCAAAAAAAAAAGTCAGTTTACTTCAATAAAATAATCAAACCTGTATTATTTTGAATGCTTCGTTAAAGAAAGACAAATTACACATATAGAATTAATAATATCAAGAAGAAAACTCTATGGGAAGAGCAGGGTCTCAAACATCCTATGTGCAGAACATATGCTCGGTTGGTGTGAATATAAGAGTGAGTGAGGCTTAATGCCTCCCTCAAAGAAGGGGAAAAAAGGGGGAAAAGGGGAAAAAGGGTAATTCGTATTCCTTAAGTTAGGGTTCAGGAAGAAAGACTGGCCTTCGGGAGCCCACAGTGGAAAGGTAAGGTAGGAGTAAACAGAGAGACTAAGGCCAACACAGGCTACATTATCATAGCTTGACCAATGGGTGAAATGTCTCACCTGGGGATACACAAATGGGAAACAGAAAGGATGAAATCCAAATGCATGTCTGCCAGAAGCCAAGAACTGTATTCTTTCTCCTTGCAGCTCAATAGAAGAGAAAAGAACAAGCAAAACTATCCGTATAAGTAAAAATAATGTAAGATGTAGTGGTTGGTGGCGTAAGAAAGTGATGCTATTACACTTTACCTACGTCTGCTCCTGGAAAACTGCAAATGTGGTACATATACACCATGGAATACTAGGCAGCCATAAAAAAAAGAATGAGGTCATGTCCGTTGCAGGGATATGGATGAAGCCAGAGGCCATTATCCTTAGCAAACTAATGGAGGATCAGAAAACCAAATACCGCATGTTCTCATTTATAAGTGGGAGCTAAATGATGAGAACACCTGAACATATAGAGGGGAACAACACACACTGGGGCCTATCAGAGAGTGGAGGGTGGGACAAGGGAGAGGATCAGGAAAAATAACTAATAGGTAATAGACTTAATACCCAGGTAATGAAATAATCTGCACACCAATCCCCCCATGACACACGTTTACCTATGCAACAAACCTGCACATGTACCCCTGAACTTAAAACTTAAATAGATAAATAAATAAATAAATAAAATTGTCATCATGGAAAGAAATTCCTCCATCCATCCTTTTTGTTCCAGAAAATGGCTCATTGTGTTCCTGGAAATGAACATTCTTCTGTGACCCCACTGACCAAACTAGACACAATGCCTGCTAAAGTGACTTAACCAACTTTAGTCAGGACCTCCTTCCCCAGGTCCCTAAACTTTGGCCCATTCAGCTTTGAACATTGGAATGAGAAACAGACCCTCTTTCTTTAATAACCTCTCCCAACAATTGGCTGATCTCAGGGAAATACATTCCCCGATCAACTGTTCAATCACTTGCTCATCCTACGTACCCACGTCAGGTTCTTTCAAGCCTTATTAATCCTCCCTGTAAAAGACAGCTCCCTTCTGCCTGACCTTTAAGACTCTTGCAGACCTTATAATCAAAATCTTTCCTATTCAAATGGCTCCCCACTCCTACCACAATTGCTCACTCCCCCTATTGTAACAGTTCCCTTCTCCCATTACAATAGTCCCTCCACCTATTTTAATAATCCCCTTTCTCTTTTGCAACAATCCTCTTGAATATGGTTTTTTGTTGTCTAAGACTGGATTTAATTTTTATTTGATGAAAGTTATAAGGTAGAGCTAAGAACACACCCAGCCAGCAGGGCCAGGAAGGTGAAAGGAAGCACTTGAATTTTAGCGAGAACTGAAGACATTTCACTGGAGAAACCAAAGGAAAATGCTTTGGCAGATAGGCGTGATTGTACATGGGGATGAGTTTTGAAGCTGTTGTAAATGGTTAGTGAGAACGTTCAGGAGGCTTGATTTTCAGGTTTGTAAGGGAGCAGTAAGGGCTGACCACTGCAGTGATAAAGGGCCAGGACATCTTGGCAGAACCAGTCTTTACTAAAAATTAGAAATAAGTAAGAATCAGTTAAATGCTTGAAATATCCAACAGTACATCTAATGATGCAGCAGCACTGCAAACAATGTAGTGGAGTCTACTGGAAATTTTCCCCACTAGGTAAATGTTTTCAGTAGTTAAATGAACACATGCAGAGAAAGAGATGCATGAAAAGAAACGAACAAATATTGACAAATAAGGTAATTCAATACCACAATAACAAAAAACACATTTGTACTTAAACGTAAAATGGATATTGCCTGGCCTAAATGTTTGTGTAACCCTAAAATTCATATGTTAAAATTCTAACTGTTTAGCTGATGATATTAGGTGGTGGGGTGTTTTAGAGGTGACTAGTTCGTAAGGGCTTTGCCTAGATACGTAAATATCTAAAAAGTGGAAGCAGTTTTGAAAGGGAGTAATTGGCAGAGGCTGGAAGCCTTTTCAGGTGTATGCTAGAAAAGCCTGTATTGCTGTAAATGACACAGCACAGGCCATGGTCTCATCCGACCAGGGAGCACAAGTGGTAAACATAGGTGTCATTATGTGGGGCCATCTCCACCAGTACACATCGTGCATGAGTCATAAGATCATAGTGGCCTCCACCCAGATTTTGAAGATGGAACTTCCGGGAGCTTTGGGTGGATGATCCAGGCAGAGGGACACCACGAGGATGGGGTTACCAGAGAGAGCCCCCACTAGAGCAATGCCCAATGGAGCCGTAGGGGCAGGACCAACCTCACAGTGGGATTAGTCCCCTTCTAAAAGAGACTTCAGAGAGCTGCCTTGCCTTTTCCACCATATGAGGGCACAGGGAGAATACTCAGTCTATGAACCTGGAAGCAGGCCCTCATTAGACATCAAATCTGTCTGTGTCTTCACCTAGGACTTCCCAGGCTCCAGAACTGTGGGAAATAGGGAAATAAGGCTCTGTTGTTTGTAAGCCACCCAGTCTATGGTATTTTCTTATAGTAGCCCAAACAAATTAAAAAGAAAATTGGTGCCAAGAAGTGGGCATGCTGCTGCAACAAATACCTAAAACATGGACGCAGTTTTGGAACTGGGTAATAGGTAGAAGCTGGAAGAGTTTTGAAGCATATGCTAGAAAAGCCTGTATTGCTGTTAATGAACTGTAAAGGGCAATTTTGGTGAGGGTGCAGAAGAGGAGTGCTGTAGAGAAAGCCTCAGCCTTCTTAGAGATTACTGAAGTGGTTAAGAATGGAATGTTAGTAGAAATATGGTCAGTAAAGATCATTCTGATGAGGTCTCAGACGGAAAAGAGAAACATATTATTGGGAACTGGAGGAAAGGCGATCCTTGCTATGAAGCCACAGATAATTTGGTTTACTCGTGTTTGTGTCCTTGTGTTTTGTAGAAGATAGAACTTTGAAGCAATGATATAGGATATTTGGCTGAAGAAATGTCTAAACAAAGTGTTCAAGGTATGGCTTAGCTTCTCTTAAGGTCTTCTAATAAAATGTGAGAAGTGAGAAATGATTTAAGAATGAAATTTTAATTAATTTAGTTATTTTACTTTTAATGTTTTAGAGACAGGGTCTCACTCTTTCACTCACCAGAGTGTGGTTCCAGCCTGGAAGAGTCACAGGCACCCAGCTGCAACCAATGAGAGTTGTGGCTTGGGCTGCACCAGCAAAGGTCTGAGGGTGGGGATGCCTGGAGCCTTCAGGGCCAATGCCAACCCCAGTGCATCCAGAAGATGGGATATTGAGTCAAAGAAGTTTATTCTTGAGCTTTACGATTTCATGTTGTTTGCCCTGTTGGATTTTGGACTTGGAACTTGTTAACCCTTTATTTTTTTCTCTCTTTTGGAATGAGAATGCCTATCCGATGTCCACCCCACCATTGTATTTTGGAAGCACATAACTTGTTTGATTTCACAGATTCGCAGCTGGAGAGCAGCTTAACTCAGGAAGAATAGTTCCTGGAGTCTCACCCGTATCTGATTTAGATGACGCTTCACTGAGAATTTGGACTTAGACTTTAAAGTTGTTGCTGGAATGAGTTATGACATGGGGGCTATCAGGATGAAATAAATGCATTTTGCATGTAAAAAGAACATGCATACTGGGGAGCCAGGGATGGAATGCTATGATTTGACTATTTGTATCCCCTAAAAATTCACCAATCACCAATATGAAATATTAGAAGTTGGGGCCTTTGGGAGGTAATTAGGTCATGAAGGCAGAGCCCTCATGAATGGAAGATGAATTAGCACCTTTATAAAAGCAGCCCCAGAGAGTTGCCTTGCCCCTTCCACCACGTGAGTACATCGCGAGAAGGTGCTGCCTATGAACCCTCACCAGGGGAAATGAGCCCTCACCAGACACCCAAACCAAACTGCTGGCATCTTGATCTTGGACTTCCCAGCCTCCAGAACTCTGAGAAGTAAATTTCTGTTGTTTATAAGCTACTTAGTTTACGGTATTTTCTTAGAGACACCCAAATGGACTAAGGCAGATATATTTGTGAAGAAGGGAAACATTTAAAAACGATAATAAAATAAATGAAAAATAATTTTTAAAATAATAGGTTTTTTTAAAACAAGAAAAGAATCAAATATTAAGAATGGAGCAAATAGCAGCAAGTCTTAAAGAGAAGAATGTAGCTTCTAAAAGAAAGAGTTTTAGGAAGGCAAGGAGGAATTTGCTCCATATTTGTCATCCAGACTGTCATCCAAATACACATTCTTTCTTTTCAGTGTAACCCTCTTTAATTTGGAATAAAATTTTAAAAAAAAAACATATTTTGCCAAAAAACATTTCACCAATTAATTTTTGCTTCTGAAATCTTGAATAAAATCTGGATCTTTTCATATTTAGTTATTTGTTTTTGGCAAAACATAACTTCTATTTAAAATAGAATATTTAAAGAAACATTAAAAAGCTCAAAAAAGTTAAATTTTCCTTAAATTAGTAAGCTCATTCAAGTGCAAATAAATAAGAAAAACATAACTAAAGTTTTGCTTTATGTCACATTTCTTTAAAATTTCAGGGAAGGAATGAATTCAGGCATATTGATTAGTGTAACACAAATCCCGAAAATAATGAATCCTCAAAGATTTTAAATGCACCCATATATGCTATTATATTGAGAAGAAGGCTATCTATACTTAAATTACATGTTGTAGATTTTGAAATTTTGTATCTCTAGTTTTCTTTTAACTCTTCAAAATGAGTACCAGTAGGATGAAATAAAATAAATATGAATTAATGGAGATAGAGGGCATGGGAAATATCTTATTTCTAAATATTCTATGTTGATCTTTTTAAAATCTGCCTTAACATGTGTGTCTCTGCTCATCATCATATTTTCAATATCCATAATTTGTTTAGCCAAACACATTTATTTCATATTCTGTATTTAAAAATGACAAAATCTGACTTTTCCACAGCTATCATTCTATGAATTGATGTTTCTCTTGACACTTGCTTATGGTGATTTCTTTCTTCCTCCTTATAATTTTTTTAATTGTAAAACCATATTCTTTAGAATTCTATGTGTAAAAATCCTGTGAATCTTGTAAGGCCAATGTCTTCCTTCGAAGAGAATATGTTTTTTACCAAGAAACTACTAGCACAGGACAATCTTAAATTGAATTTTAGCTTAGTTTTCAGGGTGCACAGAGAATGAATGTAGGCACTAGCCTACACAAAATCAGAATGGAATTTCTTGATGACTTATTTTTTTCCCCACCCGGTTTGAAAGTCAAGACCAAATCAAGCATGCATCCCATATCTCCATCTGAAGGGTGGACCATTTCTATAACTTGACCCCTGCAACTGTTACTCTTCTGGCAGCCTGGCCTGTACAGGGTATCTGGTTTCTCATTCTACTCAGGCAAGTCTTGGGTTTTTCTTGCCTCCCTCCCCCTCCTCCTCTCCCTCCACCTCCTCCTCCTCTTCCTCTACTCCTCCTCTCCCTCCACCTCTTCCTCCTCCTCCTCTACTCCTCCTTTCCCTCCACCTCCTCCTCCTCCTCTACTCCTTCTCTCCCTCCACCTCCTCCTCCTCCTCTACTCCTCCTCTCCCTCCCCCTCCTCCTCCCCCTCTACTCCTCCTCTTCCTCCACCTCCTCCTCCTCTACTTCTCCTCTCTTTACTCCTCTCCTCCTCCTCTCCCTCCTCTCCTCCTCTTCCTCCTCCACCTCTTCGTCTGCTTCTTCTTCTCTCTCTCTCTGTCTCTCTTTCTCTCTCTCTCTCTCTCCACCCCCCCATTCTTGAATGATTATATTCCTTCTCATGGCTTTGGAGATAGGGCCATGTGTATAGCAAGTTAACCCAGAATCAAGAGTTCTTACTAAAGTAAACTCCCAGCACTGTTCACATTTCACCACCCTAGATCTTATTTTTCTCATCGCCTTTAGCATCTGAGGATTTACTTAACATTCCCACCTATTCAGACATTATTTTAAAATAAGCATGTGTATTTCACAAGTATTTTAGGTATTCTGTACTAGCAGTGTTTTCACATGTCCAGTCTACCATATCTTTGCACAATGTTCATCCTTTTAATCTTTTTGTGTCCACTGTCCTATAGGAAGTGTTCTTGCCAAAGCAGCAATTACTTCCATGCTACTAAATCCATGAAACTTTTCTAGACTTCCTGGCAGAATTTGACACAGTTGTCCAATAGCACTTTCTCAGAGCATTCTCTTGGATTTCTCTGAGGCTTCTCTTGCACTTCACGGCACAACATTTCCGCTTGTCTACCTTCTATATCTCTGGTTGTTCCTCTTTTGTCTGTGAGTGGAGACCCTCTTTCTTTACCTGATAGTAAAGTTCATAAAGAATGATAAATAATGCTCATAAAGATCATAATTATATTATAAGGGCATAAGTAAACTCTTGGAGTTTTCCTTCTCCTCCTCCTCCTCCTCTACTCCTCCTCTCCCTCCACCTCCTCCTCCTCCTCTACTTCTCTTCTCCTTACTCCTCTCCTCCTCTCCCTCCTCCTCCTCTTCTTCTTCTCCTCCTCCTCCTCTTCTTCTTCTTCTCTCTCTCTTTCTCTCTCTGTCTCTCTCTCTCTCTCTCCACCCCCCATTCTTGAATGATTATATTCCTTCTCATGGCTTTGGAGATAGGGCCTTTAAGGATGAGACTAACTTAAAATGAGGTTGTTAGGGTGGGCCCTAATCTAATATCACCGGTATCCTTATAACAAGAGGAGATTTGGGCACACATAGAGACACAGAAATGGGCGAGCAAAGAGGAATGACCATGTGAAGACACAGAGAAAAGATGACCATCTGCATTCCATGGCCAGAGGCCTCAGAAGGAGCCAACACTGCCCACACCTTGATCTCAGAATTCCAGCCTCCAGAACTATGCGAAAATAAATTTATGTTGTTTAAGCCACACAGTCTGTGCTATTTTGTTATGGCAGCCTGAGCTGACTAACACAAGGTCCAACTGTCTATTTGACAACTACATTGGAGATCCCTCCGGCATCTCAAAACAAACTTGCCTCAAACTGAGCTTCTCCCAAACCTGTTCTTTCTCAATCTTTGGCAGAGGAGTAGATAATGGAAGAGTGATATTATTCCGCCTTTAAAAAAAGGTATATCCTGCCATTTGACACAGCATGGATGGTCCTGGAGGACATTATGCTAAGTGAAATAAGCCAGACACAGAAAGAAAAATACCACATAATTGCACTTACGTGTGGAATCTAACAGAGTTGATCTCAGAGACAGAGAGTAGAATAGAGGTTACCACAGGTAAGGAGGTAGGAGAAGGTGAGATGCATGTTGAAGAGCATAGAGTTGCAGCTGTGTAGGAGGAATAAGTCTAGGAATCTGATGTACAGGAGGACTATAGTTCATAATACTGTATTGCATTCTGGCGCTCTTACCACACTCACATACAAAGGGTAACTCTGTGAGAAGATGGAGAAGTTAATTTGCTTAACTGTAGTAATCATTTCAGTGTGTCTAGGTATTTTAAAACATCATGTTGTGAACCTTAAAAATATACGGTAAATTAGAAGTAAAAAAAGATCCTCTCCCTATTAAATGTCCCCACCATTCAACTGTGTGACCAAAATTAAAAATCAGGAGTAATTCTTACTCTGCTTACTCTCCATTCAGTGTTAGCAAACCCTGACAATTATTTCTCAAATATTTATTTTCATTGCTACCATTATGGTTCAAGTCACTGTTATTTCTTGCCTGGCCTAGTAAATAAGCCCATACATTACCACTTTGCTTCCATTCTTCTTTCACTACAGCATGTTCTCCACTCAGCAGCTGGAGTGACCTGGTTAAGGATTTTGTGCAGCCTTTCTATTGTCCTCCAAGGGAAAGTTGGTCCAAATTTTCTATCCTGACATCATGTTCAAATCCAGAGTCCCAACATAATGACTTTTTACCTCTTTTCCTTCTGTCTTTTGACTTTGCCTCTGTCTTCATCTCCTCCTTATCTCTTTCCAGTGATATACTTCTTAGAAATTTAATTTCCCCATTACACCAAATTCCTGGGCTGAGGATGTTCCTGATCAGCACTCTTGGCGATGGGGATGGGTTAGTCTTGGTCATGGATCCGTCAGCCTCAAAAGTGAGCATGAGCTTCAGTACTTCCGGAAGCAACAGGGGACTTGTCCCTGAAGTATTCTCCCCTAGTATTCAAGTCCTGGATACTTTGAAGTCTGACACATGGACTTCACAGGTACGGGGACCTTGTAATTGAAGGCAAAGGGAGAGGAGGAAACATGCTTTTCTGCCCCTGTTCTCCTCTTCCTCTTTTGTCTTCCTATGTTTTACCCCCACTACACTTCCTGACTGCTACCCCTTTCTATAACATTCCTACATGGAAATAATGCTTCCCTTGCCTACCTTTGCACTACACTAGGAGGCAAGGGAGGGTTAGAAATATGCCTCGATCATCCAGTTGTCCTCAGGCTTCAGCACTGAGCACAGACCTTGATGATAAGCACCACAACATGTGCTTAAGGATTTTTTGTTCACTTGAAAACGATGCCTTGACAAAATTTAAGGATTTCTGCAAGATTAAAAATACTGCCAGGCATGAAGTCAAGCTCACAACGCGGTGCCAGATTAGAGAAGAAGAGCAGTCTTCTGAGCATGCAAACCACAGGGCTGCACACAGAGCCCAGCTTACCCTTCTTACCCTTCCATGGTCCAGCCCCTGCATGAATGGGGACCCTCCCTGCCTGTGCCTCGAGCCGCTTGCAGGGCCAAGTGGCTGTGGGATTTAACACTCATAGAGCACTCTTTATACAAAGGGGCCTTTTACTTAACAACTCCTGGAAGCTGCTCGGGGGCCCCATAAAACTCCTTGCACAAAGGAAGAAACTGAGAAAGAGGATGAGTAACATGTCACAATCACACTGCTGATAAGGGGTTGATCACAAATTCAAGCTCTGGCCATCTGGCTCCTGTGACTATGCTGTCAGCCACTATTCTAGGGGGTGTCATAAATCCACCAACTCACAGCCCCAGGAGTGGAGCTTCGAGCTCCCCTGGCCTCACTCGCCTCAGCACTGCTGAGCGAGGAGATCAAGATCTTAATTGATCCAGGCACTTAATTAACTCTTCTGTTACTTGCCTTTCAAGACAGGCTTACAGATGGAATGACTGCACTATTATTACCAGCTGACCCATTCTATAAGACAAGGGCAGGCCCGAGGTCATTTCCCATCTCATGCCCCTTGCTGTACACGTCACACATTCTTTGTCCAGAGAAGGTTATGAGAGTAAATCAGAATAGGATTTATAAATAGTAATAAATAAGTAAATGAAATATCTTTAAAATATTAGGATGTTCACCTAGAAGCAAAACTATTTTAACTTTTATTTATAGAATAAGTTAATCTAGAAAAAAACAATATGGAAAAATGGCTGATCTATCAGAAAGTTTAAAAAATATATTTGAAAATTTTTTCTATTTTTTCTAGATTGTCTATGAAACGAGAAAATTAAATTACATATAACTCTTCTGAAATTCGTTAACCCCCCTGCAACTGAGTTAGATGGAAGGAAAGAACCCTTGAGCACTTCACAGCTCATGCTGTGTAAGGATCTCAATGTGTAAATAAATTCCCGACAAACCCTCATATCAGCAATCAAGTCTTTGTTCACATATCAATAAACTGAAGTGTACAATTGAGTTTGCACTCCACATATAAACCGTATCCAGGACACAATTAACAAAATAACAAGAAGTAAACCATAGAGTTCTTGAAGTGTTTAAGAATTACAGGAACTTCCTAAGAAAGAAACAAAAATATTATGCTTTGTAAAACATCACTAAAAGTTGCTTTTAGAGTTGTTTTGTTTGGTGCGTAAATGTGATAATATTTTAATTCTGAAGACGTTGGCTCAAATCCTAAGTGTGACTGAGTTGCAAAATTTTTAATGAAGAGGTTCTGCATAAGGCTGCCTACCCTGTACCTGTGAGAACCACAATGAAAATGGGGAGAGAGGGTGCATGCAGCTCATAGGTGCTGGGCGCTTACTACAGGCCAACCGTTGAAAACTTGTCCCCACATAAGTAAGTCAAAAGAAATGTCTTGGTTGCACTATTTACATTAACGTCAATATGAACAAGAAGGCAGAGATCATGAGTATGGGGATTAGGCACTCCCTAAAGCATCCTGTCTTGCTCCCGCTTCTTTAGCATGGTAAGCATTTGTGCCAGGACTGCTGGAGTTTTTGTTTTGAGTGATTTTAACAAGCACTCCATGAGGCATACTTTTTTTCATTCATCAACTCATGTTGAGTACCAGCGGGTGTTGTGCACAGTGCGCTTATAAATAAGCTGGTGCTCAAAGACCTTGTATGATCTTCTGAAGGTCACACAGCTAGCGGAGCAATGAGAAACTGATCTCAGATGGTATTGACTGACTGTGTCTCCCTCCTCAATTTCGTATGCGGAAATCCTAACCCCCAATATGATTGCATTAGGAGGTGAGGCTTTTGGGAGGTGATTAGGTCATTAGGATGGAGCCCGACTAATGGTATTAGCACCTTTATAAAAGGGGCCCCAGAAAGCCCTCTCACCTTCTTTCCACCACATAAGGACACAGCCAGAAGATGGCAGTCTACAAAGTGGAAGAAAACCCTCACCAGAAACCGACCCTGCGGACTCCCTGATCTCGGATTTCCAGCCTCCAGAACTGTGAGAAACAAACATCTGTGGTTTATAAGCCACCCTGTCTAGATTACTTTATTACAACAGCTTGAACTGGTTGAGATCATCTGACTTCAAATTATGTGCTCTTTAGGCTACTACAGAGAACCGTTAAGCAATGTCAACTTTAAATGAGTGCATGTGATAGAAGTCATTGATCATGGTATTAGGAAAAGCTGCTCAAGAAGCTGTGAAAGACTCTGGTACCCCCAAAAAGGTCTCCCTGGCATGTAGGATTGGGCAGCACAGGAAGCCATTCAAGAAGACAAGGCTTTCTGGGAGGGATGACCCCCTTGCCGGAGTCTCTGCTGACCAATATGCACAGGCATTGCTTTCCATTATGGCATTTCCAATCCGCAAAGCTTCCCCTGCCTTTGCCCGACCTCGGCCCATGTTCAGCAGTGATGCGCCATGAGAAAACAATGGCCTTGCCCAGGAAATTTCTGGTCGCGACCCTTAGGGAGAGTTGTGAAAAGCTGTCTGACCACAGTGGTTTTCTATGGCAAGTAAAAACTAGAATGCTGTGGAAAATGCCAAGAGAAGAAATCCAGAAAAAGTTGCAGACAGAACTTCTGACTTAGGGGAAAAATATTGGGAATTGCCAACAACATATCTGGGAAATGGGCCACTTAGTTTGAAGCCTCAGACACAACAAATGCCTGGGAGAACTTAGACCAACCCCATGAAACAGGACCAGATCGTTCACACGGGAACAAGCCTGCGGCCACCGCTCCTGGGAGCTGTGCTTACTCGTGGCAACATCAGGGAAACATTCTGCACGATTCAGAAAGGCTTGGAAGGAAACTTCACTACGATCAAGAATGTACTGTTCTTTGAGCTATTTCCTTTAACAACTTGGAAGAAATAATAATTAATATAAACAGTAGCCACTGGACTGGGCTGGATGCAGGAGAAACGAGGGCAGGTTTTGCAGTCAAAAGATTCAGCTTCATGCACCAGTTTTCCTCAACTGTTCTCTATGAACAAGTCATTAATGAACAAGTCATTAAAGCTCTCTCAGCCTCAGTTTTCTCATCTGTAACATAAGCAGATACTTGCATTGCAGGGCTATGAATCAGCTTAAATTCCCTATGGGTATAGAAATAATGCTTGTGCTTCCTCATTATTCTAAATAGCTTTATAATTTGCAATTATATGATTCTCAAAGACCTAGAAGAAATAATAATCGAAACTAAGAAGGGGGACCAAGGAGAAATTTCTAGTCTCCAAAGTGATTTTAGTCACTAGGAGTTCAAAACATTAAATTCACCTATATTTTTTAAAAACATAAAAACTCTTCCATAATATAACATCAAAAAACACTTATTTTTCCAAGCAAACTTAACCCTGATATCAAACTATAACCAATGTAGACCAGAAAGGAAAACCTGTAGAACCAGTCTCACAAAATAGTGATTGAGATGCTAAATTAATAGTAAATAGAATTCAAACGTCAAGACTAGGAACAAAATGACATTTTGCCTAACACAAAGAAGAATACCCATTTCAAAGCCGTTGCTCTTAACTTGGAAACATTAGATGATTCTCACTAATGTGAAGAATATGACAGAAAGAGAGACATGCCCAATGCCACCATGATGATTCAACACTGTTGAGGAAGTTATTGTCATATAGTGGGACATTAAATATCAATGTTTGACTGGAAAAAAATAAAACAATTTATCTGTATATTTGATTATATAGATAAAAATACAAAGATAAGAACTGAAAACATTTTGGGGACAGATCAGAATCACAGGAAACAGCAGCAATGACAAGTTCTTGGATTTCCTGGAGGCCCCCTAAGAACACATCCAGTGGGACTCGACAGCAAACCTAAAAACCACAGACTATGTGCCCAGCAAAACAGATAAGCCCTGACACAGAAGCAGGAGAGGACACTGCCCAACATAGCAAAGCCCTGAGCCAGGGAAACAAGAGAGGAGAGGGGGTTCTTGAAGGGCCTGGGAAGCAGAGAACCCACCATCTATCAGTTTCTCTTTGGAGAAACGGGGTGCAGGCCTGCCAAGAGCAGTCCAAAGGAATGAGGTTCCCTGCTCGGATATGTGGGTGAAATGAGAGACGTCCCTACCATTCAGATGGGCTACTGCAGTCCCTGCCTGTGAATCCTGCAATCTCACAAATCAGTGACACTCAGGACAATGCCAGAAGACACTGAGCCAAGGCCTCTGGGAGTAGGAGCCCAGTGGAGCCCAGCAGGGAAAGTGGCGGACAAGAAAGTCTAGATTAAAACAAAATTGACTAGCACTGAATGATCATGAAAATGGAGAGGAGAGTACAGAGTGCTCTGAGCTCTAGCAACTCTCATAAACGGGGGGCTCATGGGAGGGCTCCGGGAAGGTCAAACTGGCTCTCAGATGCCTTGTGGCATTCACTGAGAATAAAAGGAAGGGAGCCAAGACGCGAGGAGGTAGAAGCACTAGTTATTTTCAACACTGTTCATAGTAGAAAATTATAGTCATCCCCAGATAAACCATGACAGAGAGAGCTCAGAGATAGCAGACCCACCTAGAAGGAACACTAAATGAAGTCCTTCAAGTGAAAAGGAAAGGACCCCAGAAAGACAGCAGTCCAAACCACAAACAGAAGAAGTGCACCATCAGGAGTTATGCAGGTACATCCAACGGACTGAAAAAATGTATAGATTTTTTTCTCTTCATAAGTATGTGCTTTAGAAAGCATAAGATTGCTTAAAATATTCCTAATGATTATTACATGGTATTGTTGGGTTTATAACACATAGGTGTATTGTATATACATCTATCACTATAATAGAGCATTGAGGGAAAGGAAATGGAATGCATTGAGCATCCTCATTCAGCATAGAGCACATCAGATGCAGACTCTCACAGCCGCACGTGGCAGAAGGCAGCAGTAGCAGATGTCACTGCCCTAGCATCAGTACACCACCAAGAGCAGCAGCAAGAACAGAAGCCAAGCCAGTGCCCCTGAGCCCCAAGAGGCAAGTAGGCATCTCCCACGATTGGAAAGCTTTTCCTTTTAGCCAAAAACATATGGCAGGCATTAAATGAGAAGTGACTGATAGCAGGTACCACCCTCTTATTATTGACAATTTGTCCACATTTGAATTACTGTAGCAACTGTTGATGTTTCCCAGATATAAGAAGCTAATAGCATCTCAGAATGATTGCACAAGCTTGGGGTTGTCAGGCACATACCTGGACCACAACAGAAGCTGATCTCTGGTTCACACAGGAAAAGGGCTCCCACAGGGCCTCAAGGAGGGCCAGGGTATCGAGGCCCTCTTCTTATCATGAGGTATTCATTGATTCGGCCTGGGCTGACCATATTGTGCAGATAAACATTTAAGACTCAAGATCATGGGGTTCCACTGAGGTCATTCTTTTCTTTCTTTCTTTCTTTCTTTCTTTCTTTCTTTCTTTCTTTCTTTCTTTCTTCTTTCTCTTTCTTCTTTTTTTCTTCCTTCCTTCCTTTCTTCCTTTCTTTCTTTCTTTCTATTTTTCTTGTCTTCATTAAGTCTTAAATTAAACCCTCTTCCAATTGTGGTTATGGGTAGACATGTGGGCCCAGAGGTTGCTTCGTGATGCCTAAATCATAAGTTCAGAAAGAGCCTGATCTTTTTTTTTTTTTTTTTTTAAGATGGAGTTTCGCTCTTGTCACCCAGTCTGCAGTGCAATGGTGCAATCTCGGCTCACTGCAACCTCCGCCTCCTCAGTTAAAGCAATTGTCCTGCCTCAGCCTCCCTAGTAGCTAGGATTACAGACATGCCCCACCACGCCCAGCTAATTTTTTGTATTTTTAGCAGAGATAGGGTTTTGCCATGTTGGCCAGGCTGGTCTCAAACTCCTAACCTCAGGTGATCTGCCCACCTCGGCCTCCCAAATTGCTGGGATTACAGGCATGAGCCACTGCACCTGGCCAAGAGCCTGACCTTTACCTGGGCCATGCAGGGACCCACAATGAGGCCCAAGATCTCCCCGGTAAAGAGCCTGATCTTTACGGGGGGGATCCTGGGCCTTGCTGTGTGTTCCTATTTTTAGTTTCGTTATGATGCCAGGCATCATAAAGTACATGAAATGGACATATCTTCATTGAAAGATTTGTAAAAATTTGGTTATTTTTTATTTTGGTCTTTTGGTTCTGTTTCACTTAAAATCCAATAAAAATGATACTAAAGTCTAGTTTGATATTTTATGCTCCCCCAAGTGTTTTCCTTGATAGCTCATGGGAAGCATGTTCTGTGGTATGGCACACCGGCCGCTCCTGACACTCAGTGCTGGGGAGGGGCTGCTGTGTCGGGGGCTGCCTCATCCTCTCTTCTCCACCACCCCTGACACTTGCAGACACAGGGAAGTCACAGGCTCCCTGATTCCCCTGGGGTGTCACCGAGGCCCAGCATGGGTAACGTACGTGGATCTATAAGTCAAGTGGCAGATCGTGTTGTTTCTACTCTCAGTCCAGCACTTGTCTTCCCTCTCACATTTAAACTGAGCATTTGATTTGAGAGGTTACACAATTTTAAAACTTATCTGAAGACATAGACAAAGTCTCATAAATATTTTCTCCTATTTTTAATTGGCAAATTAAAAGTTTAGATTTTCTTTTTAGTTCTATGACTGCCATGGACGAAAAGTGCCCTCACATCCTGAGAGAGTTAACTTGCCTTGCTGATCAGGAAACCACCTGCAGTGGGCTTGCGGCAGATGAGAAACTGGCTTTGATCCCCACAGAGGGCTGCCTTACTACATGCAAATGTTGGATGTTGGCAGGATACTGGGCTTGGAGCATGGGCAGGATCTTGGAACCCTAACTCTGAGATCTGTGGAGCCCCTAACTTCCTGACTCCATACTCAGTGATCTAACAGCCTGACCTGGGCAGCTTTGGGGAAAGTACTAGAGGACTTCACGCTCTGAAGAATAAGGTAAGCATGCAATGTCCTTTCTTCTGCCTGAGGAATGAATATTGCCAGATGTGACGGATTCACCCAAAGGCAGCTTCTTCAACTAGTCTTCTTGGAAAAAGAAAGATATGACTGTAGGTGAGCTATTTCTTCAATTAAGACTTAAAAAAATAAACAGTCTGAATTAGTGCATTTTAATGGAAACTGGTAGATTCTATTATTTGGGCAGAGTGATAATTGGCATCATATTGTAGGAAAGTAAAAAGGCATCACTCAAGTTCATTTTCAAACATGAAAAACCAGGTTAATTTGTCAACGGCATAATGCTTAGCCACTTAGAGATTCAGATTGCAGCTCCTGCATTTTATGGTCATTTTACTTTAATTAAAAACTGAATATGAGAGGATAGAACAATTTTCCTTGGATTTTTTCCTATCTGGTGTTAGCTTCCCAATCACTGGCTCTGTGCTAATGTGGCTGATTCCAGGCCTGTTGACCACCAATGCACCTCTGATATCTCTCCTCATCTGTAAAGTGGACATTCTATTAGAACCTACTTCACAAGGGTGCTCTAAAAATTAAATTGAAGAACTACATGATGAACATTTGCTGAGGGCTTGCACACCATAAGCAGTTGCCAAATTTCAGTCCTCATTCTCTCCTCTCTACACTCCTGGCACTTAAAGACACAGGGAAGTCAGAGGCTCTCTGGTTCTCCTGGGGAGTCACCAAGGCCCAGCGTGGGTGAAGGACTTGCTAACAGCCACCTGAAGCCCACACTTTATCTCCTATGCTCTGTGATCAGGCCTCTTGCAATGATATTACAGCTGCTTTGTATGCCCTCCCCCACACACACACAAAAAATTGTTTGAGAAAAGACAGAGGCAACTTTGTATGACTCTAATCTTTGCTCCACTTAAAAATCCCAGCTAGTCTCTGTGTGTTAAGATAAACTCTCCTGGAAGGCGTCTGAAGGAAAAGCAAATATTTTGACCATTAAAAGAACCTCTAAATAACAAATGTCAAAGACAGGGCATGTGTTAGGCAACTTCACTTATCTCAGGGTTTGCAGGCTACTTTGCTTCACTTTTTCAGTCTGTTTGTAAGTGATTATATTATAGGAATCTTTGACAATAAGATTTGGTCAGCTAAGAGGCAATAATAAGATGCATATGAAAGTCTCCCTTAAATAGAATTGATGTCTGGCTAAAATTAACTGCAATGTTTTAAATGTGTCTTCTGTTGGAACCTTTATACAGGGTAGGTTGTGTAAAGGAAAGGGCAGTTTAGTGTGGGAGAAGCCTATTTTAAGGACAATATTCTGCAGGTAATTTGAGATAGTCCTGAGCATGTTTACCATCTTCATCACTCAGGTCTATATTTTCAGAGGGTTTTGGCTGCCTCGTATAAACAGCTATTGAAATTTTAAATGAATATTTATAGAATTCAGCTTAATTGCCTACTTAGAATGATAGAATTTAGTCATTCCACAAAGATAATGAGGGTTTAATGTACTGCAGGAATTGACCACATTAATTCATTCAAGCCATTCTCTGAACACTTCCTCGCTCCTGCTATGTGCCAGGCATTCCTCTATGAATTGGAAGATGCCCAACAGAATAATCTATGTCCCTGATACCTGAATCTAATTTTAATATAAGCTGTAGCTAAGAGTTTTTAAATGTGTACTATGTGTGAGGCACTGTGCTAATTTATTTCTCAACACATCCCTGTGAAGTTGATGTATATGTTTTTCTGTATTACAGATAAGGAAACTGAGTCACAAAGTGTTTGTCTCCTGGCCCTCATCACCCAGCTCATGATTGGGTTATACTTTTAGGCTGCCTTGAATGTCAACACCACAACAGGAAGTGCAGAGGTGAGCACTTCCATCTACACTTCTCATGTATTTCTTAGAAAACATAGATGCCAATTAACGTCATGTCATCTGTCCTAGATGAGTTACAGTACGTTGGTATGATTTCTGTGCATTTTCTAAGATTTTTGCCACTTCCTAGTTGTTTATGTTATTTAGTTCCAATTTCATTTTTTAAAAAACTGGAGTTTTACCTACTTTTGTCTCGCAGGTGGTGGCGCTTCTCTTTTGCCCACCAAAAAAAAAAAAGAAGGAGAGAGAGGGGAAAGACAGAAAGAGAGGGAGAGAGATACAGAAAGAGAGAGAGGGAGAGAATGAGCACACACACTTAAACCTGAGTACTAGATATCCCTGTGTTTTTTGTTCCTTTCCTCACATCAAGAATGGAATGTCTCTTGGGCTACTATGGTGCTTAATCCTCTTCTATCCCTCATTTCATTACTGTCTACGTCCAAATCTGTATTTATTTATTATGCAGGTCAGGATATAGATAATTTTATTTTGCTTTCTCCTTTTAAACCAGGCCCTATGGGCTTTGTCTTTCATTTATAAAATGGCACATCAAAGCACTATGATGAACACATGGATTTCTATTTCAAAGTGGAAGGAAGTCTGCCAAGGAGGATGGAAGCACCAATAATTAGTTACATGTCAAACAGAATTTGTGTTGTTCTGGTTCCACTGAGGTAAATATTAATCCCCACCTTAGACTCAGTGCCTTGCCCAGGATCCAGCCAGGAGGAGGGAAAGGCAAGACCTGAGTCCACATATTCCCACTCCTAGCACAGGCCTCCTTACAGCTCCTCCTCCCCACTAAGATGCCCATCTTTGAGTGTACAAAAAACAGAATGAATAATGGTGCAAATCCACAAAACACATAGAAACAGAAATAAAAATGCAATTTATAAATGCTAAGAAAAAGGAAATACTTAGGTGTAAACCTAGCAAACATGTACGGGACTAGTAGGTTGAAAACTACAAAATGCTGATGAAATAAATCAAAAAAAACCTAAATGAATGAAGACCATACCATGTTCATGGATTGGAAAATTCAGTATAGTAAAGATGAAAATTCCCCCAAAATCAGCTTATAGTCTTAATGCAATTTCTATTAAAATCTTTGCAAAGTGTTTTATACATATAGACAAGTTTATTCTAAAATGTATATGGGCCAGGCACGGTGGCTCACACCTGTAATCCCAGCACTTTTGGAGGCCGAGGCAGGTGGATCACAAATTCAAGAGATCAAGACCATCCTGACCAACATGGTGAAACCCCATCTCTACTAAAAACACAAAAATTAGCTGGGCATGGTGGCACACTCCTGTAGTCCCAGCTACTTGGGAGGCTAAGGCAGGAGAATCTCTTTAACCAGGGAGGTAGAGGTTGCAGGGAGCCAAGATCGTGCCATTGCACTCCAGCCTGGCAACAGAGTAAGACTCCGGCAAAAAAACAAAAAAAACACACACAAAAAAAACCTGTATATGAACAGGTACAGACCCTGAAAGTTAAAACAATCTTGACAAAGAATAATAAAGTGAAGGAAGCTTTCTTCCTGATATTAAGGTTTATCATACCATTACATAATCAAGACAGTGTGGTATTGGTAGCGGAATTAACACAGATCAATAGAACATGATGTTCAACATCATTAGCTTTTGGAAAATGCAAATCAAAATCACAAAGATATATCACTACACACCCATTAGGATGGCTATAATTAAAAAGATGGATTATGACAAGTATTAGTGAGGATATAGAGAAACTGAAGCTCTTAAACATTGCTGGTGGGAATAAAAAATGGTGCAACCACAAGGAAAAAGAGTTTACAATTTTTTTTAAACATTAAACATAAATTTAGGATCTAGCAATTGTACTCCACACCAAAAAGAAATGAAAACATGAACACACAAAACTTGTATGCAAACAATCAGAGTAGCATTAGTCATAATAGCTAAAAAGGGAAACAATCCAAATGTCCATTAACTGGTGAATAGATAAACAAAATAAGATAAGGTATATCCATTCAATGAAATGTAATGGAATACTATTTAACAACAAAATAGAAATGGGTTACTGATGCCTGTAACAACATGGATGATCCTCTAAAACATTTTGCTAGATGTCAAACACAAAACCACATGTTATATAATTCTTTTTACAACAAATGACAAGAAAAGGTGAATAGAGATATACTGTCACCAAGCACAGGGTTTATTTATAAGGTATCAGAAGTACTATAAAATAGTTGTGTTTAGATTGTTCTGATGGTTGCACAACTCCATGAATTCACTAAAATCATCACGTTGTACACTTGGATGTACAAAATGGGTGAATTTTTTGGCAAGTAAATTATGTCTCAACAAATCTATTTTTTAAATCAACTTATTACAGTTTTCTGTCAAAAGGTAGTACAATATCTTGAGGAAAAAGTGCCTTTTCTAATTCTCAGAAGGGTTGGATGAATCATTGGAATGTGAGGGTGAAAGAGTCAGTTAAGAACCAGATCACGAAGGGCCCTGTTGGCCACATTGTATCATATGGGCTTCCTTCTTCAGGCCATGGGAAACAATTCATGGTTTTTAGGCCAAGGATGGGCCTGATGAGAGCATTGATTTAAAAAACTAATTTGAGCATACATACAAACACGAAGGATGGATTCAAAGATAAATTTAGAAATGTAAGCCCCATAAAAAATGGTTTATTATAAATTATTGACAATGCATCTAATATGCACACAAGCACACACACAGACACATGCACACACACACACACACACACACACACACACACACACTACCCTAACACTTTTTTTAGTTTCTGAAAGTTCACTGGATTGCTGGATTTGAAGCCAAAGGACATACAATTGAATCTTCTCCTTCTATGATTACCAGCTGCAGGGCCTTGGAAATGTTCCTCAATCTTACTGTAAAATGAAGATAAGAGTTGTGCATTTGTGGAGAGAATATCAGATCATGAAAAACAGAGGTTTTAAGTAGAAGCGTCCTTCCATGTATGTCCCCTACATCTTGTGCTTCTGTCCTGGCATGCCTCATCTCAAAGGTCAGTGTCTTCCTGCCCCAGGCTGATCCTTACACAGCTTCTGTGTCCTTGGGACTTTGACCCTACCCAACCACTCACCCGTCTCACTTTGTCAACAGTTACTTCCTTGCTTCTGGTGCATCCCCTCAAGATATGAAAATGTTCAAAATAGCCACCTTAAAAAAATAAAATAAATAAAGCTGTTAAACACTTCTATTAACCTTAGTTGTTGTCTAGTGATTCAACTTCTTTTGCTTCAGAGAAAAGCTTTACATTAACTCTTCATGACCTCACTCCTCACCCAGCTCTCCACCTACTGCATCTTTTTCTCCACTTCTCCAATGAAATGATCCTTACTTGGTGAAACATGACTCTTTCCCTTTCTGGGTCTGGTTTCCCAGCTACCCCTTCCACCTCTGAGCTACCTGAGATTTTGCATCCAATTCCGTTGATGCTTGTAACTTAGGGGATCAAGAAAACCAAACTGACCCATTATTCCCTCGGCCTTTGAAAGTGTCTTCCCTTATTTTTCTCTTATTTCCTAGACTGTTTCTTGACAGATTTTTAGGGATGCTCCAATTTTCCTGCTTACTCCTAAGTCTACAACTTCCACCCACTTCTTAGTCTGAGCTATTTTCTTTCATGCTTTCCTCTCCAGATTTGCCTACAAATACCACCCCATGTTAGAGGTTCCTCATTTCTGATCTCCAAAACAGAGATCAGTAAGTCCTACCCCCGCTGCACTTTCAACTCTATGTTTTCTCACATTATTTTATTTCCCAGCATACCTGATCTTCATATATTTTCTGCAGCTGATATTCCTTGATTCCTGCAACAAATTCTAAGTTCCAACTGTGAGCCAAGCATTATGATGGAACAAGGGCCCCAAGGGTTGACAAAACTGTCCTTGTTCTCCAAGCACTTCACTGTGCAACAGACCATGAACCAGGGATCTAGACAGGATCACTGCCTGACCCAATCAGCCTTCCATTGAGTTGAGTCAACGTAGCACTCTCAGGATCTCTCAAATTTGCCCTTTTCCTATTTTCTTTCTACCTTCACCCTAGTTCAAGCACGTCTCGTTTTTTGGTCGATACTGCAATATGAATGCTCCTCCTTCATAAAATGCATGTCCTAAAATGCATTGGCCTATTTGAAATTCTACAAATTCTACAGCTAGATCTTCCATCACTCTCAGGATAAACTTAAAGTTCTTTGGCATGATAGTCAATATTTTATGATGCTTCTTGGCATGGAAATCCTCTCCAAATGTACTGTGTTCCTTGGATACCAGGGTCCCAAACATCCCTGAACTTGCCTTACTCCATGGTCTCAAATCCCTGTGCATTTGTACCTGCCCTTCTTCTAATATCCTCACCTCTTCCTCTTTCCTCACTTATCTAATGCCTACTGTTCTTTGAAACTCAGTCCTTGAGTTCTATTTGGGAGCTTCCCCAAACCCTGGGCAGTTGGTAGTTTTGTGTTTTAGACATATCATGCCTTTCAAATGCAGCACTATCTGCTACGTCTGTCTTACACACCATCATTGGAGCTACTTAAGGAGAGAGACATTGAATCTCCTGCCTGCAGCCTGGGGTCCGGCACGTAGGAGATACACAAGAAGAGTGGGCTAAGTCAGAGGACTGATTATTCGTATAAAAGGGCTTTTTGAAATCTAAATCTTGAAGGTAAAGAAAGTAAAATTATCAGATAAGTTTATGCTGTCCATCTATGTAAGAAATCTTAAAAATGTAGTTAATCTTAGTTGCAACATGATTTTTCCTTCTGTTTAAAGACATGACTCTATTTTATTCTGGTATAAAAGGTCTTTTTGGCCAAAAAACATCCTTCTCCTTATGAGGAATTGGAAATAGGGCTGAGTGTCCTGGTTAGAGCAGAGGAAAAGGCAGGAAAAGCCCCAACCAGCTGCTGCCTGTCTTGGTCCCCTCATCAAGTGCCGCCAATGCTGTAAAAGTAAATAAACACTGGAGGAGCCGAGCATTCATCTAGCGAGGTTTGACCTTTCCTGAACCTCAGCATCTTACCCTGCAGTCTTGCTTATATCCATCTCCATCTGTTTGGTCTGGGGCTGGAGCTGGATGACTCCTGACTCCAGAGGATCATGATGACACATGAGCTTGGGCTCTTGCAGAGGGGACAGGACAGCTCTGGTGTGGCTCAGCCTGGAGCTATGCTCCCAAGCAGCATCCTAGCCATTTTTGTTTTCAGTCCATGAAGCATAGCTTCCCTATTTGACTTTGGAGCCCAAAACTCAAGGTGCTCCATGATATAGAGCCTGAAAAAAAGAATGTTAAAAATGCAAAAATCACTACTAAAGGGTTGGTGTATTACACTGTGAGGGCAAAGTGCCCCTGCCGCAACTCTGCTGCTGATGTGGGCCCTCCTCAGTGGAGGACTGCACCAGGGCAGTCGGGTGAGAGCAACACAGAAGATGGTCCTCTAGAGAAATAGCACGATACCACACAGCCTGGGTGACAGGCGCCTCTGAAGCCTGCGGGCTGCAGGACCAAGGGGATAATTATTTAAATTTCATATTCACTGTATATCAGACCCTGAGCTAGATGCTCCCACCTACCTAATTTTGTACCCATATTGGTACAGGAAGAAATCATGGAAGGCTTAGAATGTGGGAATGACTTGCTCAAAATCACAGGCCAGGGAGAGGCAGAGCTGCATGGCAGTGTAGCATTTCCCTCCTGTCATTACTTCACCTAATCTTAAGGATAAAACTGGCCCTGGATTTACAAACATTGGAATTCCAGTTTAAATTTTCAAAAAAATATAACTACTCCTCACCCTAACCCTCTGTGCATGCACACAGAGACTGGAGGGAATGAAGAGAGTGCAGAGGGGAGACACTGGGAGGAAGGTAGTCTGGAACATGACGGGAAGACTCAGGGATCAGGGGCCAGTGGTGAGGTAGGTCGAGCAGTGAGGAAGGCCAAGAAATAGCAGGAGCAATATGCAAACTTCAAATGGCTCTCAGTTATTCATTGTATGTTCCCTTCTGAGGAAGGCAGCAAGAATAAAACATTAAAATGCTCTATGTTAACATCTTAAGTTTTAAAAAATGAAGCTGAGCTTGAGTTTACCACACTTGGCTTTAAGGACCTTACAGTGATCTTGCATTCTCAACCCCATTAGTTCCCCTGTGTCTCAGGCTTTCTACCCTGAGTGGGTTTATTACTGAAATAATTGTCATGAAGATGCCCTACCGGACACATCATGAGCTTTGGTTACTATTTCCTGTTATCATCATGAGTGTTATTTTCTACAGATCCACATCAACTAATATCAATTAGCCTCGGGCTCAGAGGTGGTTTTCCTGGGTCCTGCCGCCCCTAAATGAAATTCAACCTCCTCATTCTAAAAAAATCAACATTAGGGAGAAAAAACAGCCTAGCTCTTTTTGAAATTTGTTATTGACCTGCAAAAGAAGAGTCCCTCATTTGATCTACAGAGCTTGGGCAGTGGGGCCGGGTGGCAAAGGGGATGCACATTTGAGGAAGCAAGGAGGCTGCAGGGACAGAAAGCAGATAGGAGACAGGGAGCGAGGGCTTCAACAGGTCTCTAAGCTAAGGCATGGGGCCTTAGACAAACCACGTTTCCCTCTTCAGTGGGGGGCTATGTTCTCAGAGAGTTATGCCTTTTTTTCATCTTGCAGAACCTGACTCATTAGTGAGTTGTAAATTCAATATAATGGGTTGTAACTCATATTTTAAAATAGAATAAACAGAAGACGAGAGGTCAAGTTGGGATAGGATGTGGAGGAGAAGTGATGGGAAAACATCAGAATGTACTGCATGGAGCAAAGGTAAATCCTCTTCCATGATGATTTTACTTCTATTGTATGTGTGGCAACAGAAGCACTGGATTGTGGTATAAAATATATTTCCTGTAAAATTATACACCGTGTTTTATGGTAAACAGGATTTTTGAAGTTGCTGGTTCGGCACACACATTGCCAACCAAGTATTCACCTCAGAAAAGTGCAACATGTTTATCCTCTCTCGCAGAATGTCAGCTCCAGAGAAGACTGAACTTGATAATCTGAACATGCGCAGCCACTACTGTGGATTGAATGTTTTGTCCCCTCCAAAACTCATGTTGAAATTTACTCCCCAGTGCAACAGTCTTTGGGAGGTGGGGCCTGATGGGAGGTGTGTAGGTGGTGAGGGCTCCACTCAGGCATGGGCCTGTGGCATCATAACAGGGCTGGCAGGAGTGCTTAGCTTTTTTCAGCTCTTCTGCCATGCAACAAAGAGTGCTCCTCCCCTCCAGAGGATGTCACGGTCAAGGTGCCATCCTGGAAACAGACAGCAGCCCTCGCCAGACACCCAAACTGCCAGTGCCTAATCTTGGACTTTCCAGCCTCCAGAACTGTGAAAAATAAGTGTATATGCTTTATAAATTACCCAGTCTCAGGTATTCTCTTATAGCATCACAGAACAGACTAAGGCAGCCAACTTCCTTCCCACCTAAAAAGCTCATTATGAAAGAAAAATATTTTTAAAGCTCTACTAGCACTGGGAAATAAAAGCTAAAAGCCTTTAGCCAAGCAGAACATTTACAGCACTCCTGGAAGTCAACAACAAACAGATCTACGGAGAAACAAGTCCAGAGCAATCACAGGCCAACAGCCAGGCCACGTAGTGGTGTTGCGTATTTGACACACTCAAAACTCAGGCTCAACAGACATTGGCAGTGGGGTTGTGGGGACAGTTTTAATGGGTAAGGATTGGGAATAAGTGTTTAGGAGAGATATACTATCATTTCGTTACCCCTACCACTTAAGGCCAACCACATTTATTCCCACACTAAACCAGCAAAGTGGGCACGGAAGCCAGCTAGGCATAGCCACACCCCAGGTAACTTGCAAAACTCAAAAGGGACAAGAGCACAGTCCCTCTTCCTAGAGGACAAGCTATCATGGAAATTATTGGCAGATACACAAACACAAAAAATAAAGTGAAAATATTTGCTGCAAATGTGACAAAGGAGTAAGCTCTAGAGGAGCCTGATTCACCGTGAAACATTTAATGACACTAAAGCTCTGGGCCACCCACTTGTGTGGTTCATCCTAGGGTGGTGGCAAAGGCCTAACAAAGAATGGTCACATTCTTATTTAATTTTGCATTATTTCTCCTGCAGCTGACGCCTCAAATTTTATAAGCTTCAAAGACCACAAAAGATAATTCATCCTAGATATTCAGAGTTAAGATAAAATAGTTAAGAGTTAAGATAATATAAATCACTCAGAAAAAATACATACAGTACAATATATGGGGAAAAGATATAAACAATTTATAGAAGAAAATATATAAATGGTAAATAAGCATAAAACATAATCTCTATCTTGTTTATAATTAGAAATATGTAGATTAAAATAAAAACGAAAATTTTTCCCTCAGATATGCAAAAAAATAATTTTTTTTTGAGATGGAGTTTCACTCTGTAGCCAGGCTAGAGTGCAGTAGTGCAATCTCGGTTCACTGCAACCTCCGCCTCCCGGGTTCAAGCAATTCTCCTGCCTCAGCCTCCCGAGTAGCTCGGACTACAGGCGCACCCCACCACACCCAGCTAATTTTTGTATTTTTGGTAGAGATAGGGTTTCACCATGTTGGCCAGAATGATCTCAATCTCTTGACCTCGTGATCCACCCGCCTCAGCCTCCCAAAGTGCTGGGATTACAGGCATGAGCCACCGCACCTGGCCACAAAAATTTAAGTGATTGATAATATTAATCCATGGTGGGAATGTATACTTATATATTTTAATTAAAGTAGAAATTATCAAAAATTACTAGAACAGCAAATTGGCAAGACCTATCAAAATACACATTATCATTAACTCAATAATTGAGCTTCTAGGCATTAGGTCCAACACAAACACGCATTCCCTGTTAGAGATATGCACAAGGAGGTTATATTATGGAAGTCAAACTATAAGAAACCTCAGTGTCCATCAGTAGTGTAGGTATGTCCACACATACTGTCTCTAAAAAGAATGAAAAGATTTACATGGCCTACTAAGACAAAGACTCCCAAGTTAGAATATATTTTACAGGTAAAATTCAGAAGTTAAAAAACATAACCAACTGCCATCTTCTATGTTGGAACCTTGTGGGAAGAGTGTGGAGCTCGACAAAATTACAAGATTCATGAAAGATTAAACATTTTCATATATCTTAGACTGTAAATGTCAATCCCTCCCTTTGGCACACCTACAGTGGAATTCCAGTTTCTTCTGGGCCCTTATTCAAAGTTAGTTTTCTGAACTCATTTTTATATGGTCTTCCTTTTTCCTTTGGCCTATACTGCCCTTTTGGCTAAAAGGATTTTATTTTTCCCATGTCCTGAAGTTTCCCCATATCCTGAATACTGGCATTTAGTACAAGTGATGGTTTGTTGTTCATCATGCAACATGATTTCACTTTTCAGTATGTTTCTTTACAAGAGACTCTCTGGTTGTTTGATTTACAATCTAGTCCTGCTGTGTATAGCATGGTCTTTGTTCAATTTCATGAACACCATGAGAGTCTGTTTTTTCATGTGGATCCCATTCTTCTCAAGAAGTGCTTGCTCTTCACAGATAGATTTTCACACCTCCCTATAGCTGCTTCCATGAACATGGAAAATATTCAAATTACTCTTTGAGATAGAGGCACTTTGAGTTCAAGCCCCATTTCCTCCCCACTGACTCATCTACTTCTTGTGTTACAATAAATAAGTTAGTGAGTCCTTGAGAAGTAGTCAGTGCACAAAAGCTGTGGTTGTTTAAATTGATATTTTTGTTAGAATTACCTTCTCTGTGCAGATAACAAACTGATGCTTGGTACATTTTCCAAGAGTACTTACATAGTAAAGGTAGAGTGAAACTGGACTTCACAGCCTTAATCCCAAATCCCTCCACTCCATGAGAGCCTCCTCAGTCCTTCCTGATTGCCACGAGCCCTGTGAATTCTGCTTGCCTGCAGAAACTCCTCTTGGGTTATGTGCAATGATTCCTTGACTCATTCATACAAATTGTGTTTGTACATAGCACAAGCTTGCAGTTATTTTTACTAAGTCTATTAAAATTAAAACTATGTAAAGTAGAACCTGAAATCCTGAACATGACCAACATAGGGATTTTTCCATCTCAGGGGAGAAGGTAGAATGAAGGGATTAGATATTAACAAGGCCTGTAGAGGTTCTAGCACCTACTCCTGCAAGACTGGCTGCATATTTTCATTGAACAAAAAGGAGTAACAGTGGAAACCTGCTGCTTGAACTTTCTTTATTTACAAGTCTTGCTTGTTTGTCCTTTTGGATATAGGTGCCTCCATAGAAAGATTACAGAAAAACTCATCACTTCATATTTCAAATAGGGCAAAAGAAATGTGTAACGAGATTTCCCCAGGGTCCCACAATTTCCTTTCTTGAGAAAGGATTTAAAACGCTGCCTTGAAACAGTCCACCGGAATCCCTCAGAGAACTCATCCGTTAGCTGTGGGCAAGACCCTCTGTGTTTTTCCACCTACCCAGGGAGTGATGCCTATTCTGGGGATGGTCCAAGCTCTTCTGGCAATTAGGAATGTCCCACTTTTGAGCAGAAAACTTGCAATCATGAGCACTTTGATGCTGCCTCACATTACATTTGGTAGGTGCTGTGGTCTGAATGTTCATATCCCCAAAATTCATACATTGAAATAACCCCCAAAGTGACAGTATTAGAGGTGGGGCCTTTGGGAGGTGATCAGATCGGGGTAGGGGACAGGAGAGGCCTCATGATGGGATCAGCGCCCTTATCAAGGAGCCCCAGGGAGCTCCCTCATCTCTTCCACCATGTGAAGACACCAAGGTAAGGCACCCTCTGTGAACCAGGAAGTGAGCTCCCACCAGACACCAAATCTGCCAGGGCTTTGATCTTGGATTTTGCAGCCTCCTGATCTGTAAAAAATATATTTTCTATTGTTTAGAAGCCACTCAGTCTATGGTATTTTATAGCAGCCTAAACAAACTGAGACACTAGAGATAGAGTGCAGGGAAAACAAAACAAAGCAAAACAGAACCAGACATTTGAGAGATCTCTTCCCATTAGGATTCTTTAATTGTCATCTAATTGCTGTTCAAAAGAATTGATACAGAGTCAGAACAGAAAACAAAAGCATGTGAAGATCCTTTAACAGCTTCGTAACCGTCAGCCATCCAACAAAACACTGAAGTTCATGCCTATCTAATTAATTTTCTGGCCATCTAAAAATTTAAAAGGTTTGAACTCAAGACTACAAACAAATACAAATTTTCTTTGAAATTGCATACTATATAAAAGAAGAAAGAATGATTTGCCAAGTAGACTATTAGACTCATAACATGCTGACATTCATAGAGAGAAGGCGGAGCAAAGAGACAGGCTTTATTTTATTAGATTTTGTCTTCCCAGCCCTCGCTGGAGCCATTGGAGAGAACTCCATCTAGCTGAAAGACCTGAAACTTAGAACCAAAGCAGCCAATGACTACACAGCCCGACTCCTTCCCAACCCATAGCTAGATCCTGGATTACCCATATGTGAACCAAGGCCAGTGTGGGAAGGGCACTGTGGAAAGCGAACGTACCAGGTTCCCAGGGAACAGCCAGATGAGGCTACCTGCTCCAGGCCAAAGAGAGGGAGCAATGCCACACCTCCTCCCAAGGGGAAGTAGCTCAGGCCTCATGTAAGTGAAGAAAGACCTAGACATTTGCCTAAGGACCAGGTTTCTGGATCTCCTCACACTCAGGAGGAGCACAGCCCCACCCTTCTCAATCCAACTTCTGTAGAAGGAGGTAGGCCCCACAAGCCAGAAGAAATTCTGAAGAAGGAGAAAGAGGGGGTGCGTGGACCTTCTCTCAAGCCTGGTGGATGCCTGTAGGTCCTTCTATCTACCAAATTGCACCTTTCCCCAAGTCCCAGATGGAGCAATCATCCTCCCTCTGCCTCCCCACCTCCCGTGGACTTCAACCCTTATATTCATGTTAGAATCTCTCTGCCTCTTCCTCTGACTTGATTGTTTGCCCTGGAAGGCATGAATCAGACATTCACATCACATAGCCAGGATGTGGTGCAGTCTCTGGAACAGTGAGCCACTGAGGGAGTGGGTACTGGAAAGGTTCATAGACTAACAAACACCTCAACGACTGCTGCTAACTTGGGTGCTTCAAGGCATGTGCCTGAATCCCACCCAGAGATCCCAGCTGCAGAGTCCAAGGCCCTGAGCCCAGCCACACAGCTCAGGAGTGATTTCTTCAGGGCAGAAAGGCCAGGGAGACTCCTCCAGCAGCTGTGCCAAATGCTGTGCCCAACTGTGAGGAAACAGTGGCAAAGAGGTATAGGTTAAATGTGTCTGGTAGTGGGCAGGCAAGGAATGAATTGAGGTGGGGAGAAGGCCAGCAGCTCAGCATGCCGGGGAAGGCACGCTGCCACCTGCTTGAAGCAATCCATTTGGTTGACCCTCTGGATGTCTGCACTCAGCCAAAAGCACACGGATAAATGTCCTACATGGCTCACAAGCTCTGTGGATGAGTCTGTGTCTGTGGACAGAATCCTCAGTCGTCCAGGGTGCTGGCCAGCTGTCCTGCTCAGTGGCTCTATGGCCATGAGCAATACCCCTCTACCAGGCTGGCTGGCCAGCTCTGATGGGCCTGGACACACCACACTCCCCAACACAGGGCACAGAAAAAGTCAAGAAATAAGGATTGATCAAATCTCTATCTGGGGACGATAGGTGACATTAGTCTTTGGAGGGAGCCATTGCTAGTTTTTCAAGCAGGGTGGAATGCGAGGAGAGCTGGGCTTCAGAGGTGTATAGAACCAATTAGGAGTTTTGACCCGCCATGGTTTATTTTAGGATCAGGGAACAGGTGCTTGCTGGCTGGCTGGCCCAACCTTCTGAGGCGCCATCCCAGGCCGCATGTCAGGCGCCCTGTGGAATGTTGGTGCCCACCGCGCTGAGCCTGAACTCTACGCTCAGATGTTGCCATCTAGTGGTGACAAGGTGCAAATCTCACCCTTCGCCCTAATGCATAAAGGATCAGGAATTTTAAAAGAAATACTTTTCTAATAAAGCAAATTAAGGAATACTTTTTATTCACTTTTAAACAATACATAGAAAAGATTGCATTTTTGGTTTTGGCCTCTTTAGCCTCCTAAATATATACAAAAATCACATCAAGAATGTAAACTACCAGAAGTCAAGGAGTTGGAGTTGCCCAAGTGCCTTTATTGAGACTACAGTTTCCCCATGGAGTAAATCTCAGTTCGTTACTTTAATTAAACACATGTCAAGAGATATTTGTGATATGAAGGAATGAAATTTAAATTTTCCCTGCATTTCCTCATTCTGATTCCAACTTGGTTACTTACCAGGTAAATGGCACATAAATTCTCTGAGGCTCATACTCTTCACTGGCAAAATGGGAACGCATGACACGATAATAGGAAAAAGTGATGTGAAAAGACGATAAAACCCTGAAGGCACAACTCTGGGTGTGTCCTGACTGCTCAGGTGTCTCCCAGGGCGGCCCATTTGATGACACAGCCATGGTTTCCTCTCTTGAACAGGGGGTCTGTGTCCGCTTACTTTACCTAAGAGCACACTCACCAGCAGCCCCTGCCAAGAGTGTTCAGTTCGTGTTCTGCGCAGTGTCTAAGATATTCCTAATACTTAACAGATGTCAAAAATGGAATATTCATGATAAAAATACTCTTTAGTTTTCCATAAGCTCCAGTGACTAGAATGAGCCTTTCAACCCATGAAAGGATCCAGTCCTGGCTGGATCCAGAATTCAGGGAGTTCTGAATTTTGTGATTTCAAAGTGCTGATTGGTTAAGATACAGGTTACGTTCCTCCTGCACTACCTACCCAGGCACCTTCCTCAGTGATGAGACTTTACTCCTACAGCCCATCTCTTCCTAAATGGATGGCCAGCTCACCTAGAATCTCTCAGGGATTTTGCACTTAGTCTTACTTCCCGCTCCTAATTTTTAGTTTCTCTCTCTCCTTTTCCACTATGAGCAAACACCCTTTTGTCCCTTGGCTGAAGTCGATCATTCTGTGAGAGTGCTGCCCCTTTGGGTTATGGTTCTACTTGAAATTGATCCGTAACAAACACCTCTATGTCCTCATTGTCATTTCCTGAAAGGAGGTGTAAGTCAGGTGCAGGAGACTGAGAAGAGTAAGGCTGAGCCTCACTCACAGGCACACACTGTGGTGGGACAGAGACATCCCACAGTATAGCCGCAGGCCAAGAGCGAGTCCCCTCAGGGCCCCAGAAAAAGGCAGAGTGGAAATGCCTTCAGCAGGCTTACCCCAGCCCCACATCTTCTCCCAGCCCCTTCTTGCCCATCCCCTGGCTGGGGCTCCCACACCTGTTCCTTTCATATAATGGCCCTCTCTTGGTTCCCCAGACATGCAATGGTTCTGGATGTCCCTGAACCTCTGGCCACAAACTGCTCACTGCCCTTTATTGTTGTTTTTCCTCCTCCTCTCCCAAACCATGACAGTTTCCCAGGGCTGTATAATCTTTCCTCTCCTTCCCTTCTCTTCTCCATGGCCCACTCACCAAACCTATATTTTGAACTGTAGCCACCCATCGCTGGCCCTCCTTGGTGGCCAGGCATGACACCTCACATTTGCAGTAAACACTGTTCCTGACTTCTCCATGGCAGTGGCACCCTCAGCTCAGGCTACCCCATTGTTGTCTTTCATCAATAAGTCCCAAACCCAGGAGTTTCTCTCCTGAGAAATGGGCCCTGGATCCCCACTTCCTCCAGATCCCCCCAGCTGCCCACACTTGCTCTGAATTCTCCTGGAGTTAACACCCACTGCCACCTTCATCTTCCTTGGAGAACAATCATGCCAGGAAGGTCACAGGAGCCGGAGCTGAAATCCCAGCTCTGACATGACACTTCTCTAACCTGTTTCTCATCTACAAAGTGGAGACAATCTCCCAGAGCTGTGGTTCCAATGAAAGATACTGTGGGAGAGCAAACCCCCAATGTGGAATGAATGGGAGACTTCCCTAGAAAAGAGGTCTAGGCATCAGCTCACCTCTACTTATTCTCTTTGTAACCAGAACAAGGGTTTAAACCTTCAGGCCTCAGTTTTCCCATCTGTGAAGTGATCACCTCAGCACCTGCCTCACTCAAGGGTGGTGAGGATTAAACCTAATTCTACACATAAAGGTCTCTGGGATAAACTCCCCAGACCATGTATGTTATTATTATTTCCAATTCTTCTTCATCTGAACTCCTCACCCCAGCATCAAACGTCTACCATACTTTAAATTCTTTCTTCCCTGGCCCTGTCTCTCAACACAGCAAGCATTTCAACACCCATGCAATCATTTGACAAATATTCACACTTTGCCTCTCCTCTGCCTGCATGACTTGGTGCTCTGTGGCACGGAACGCTGTGGGTAGTGACTTCTGCACTGGGCCTGTGATAGGAGGGGTCTGGGCATCAAGCACAGCATCACTAATCCTTCAGTGGGGTCTTCTCCTTCCAGGCTTGGCTGAAAGGTAGCCTCAGCCCTGATCTCTCCCTCAATATCCCCAGGAGGAGACACCAGTCCTTCTTCACTTCCAAGGTTTGCAACTAATGTGTATAGGTAAACAGAGGTTTATAAAAACTCCAAAAGCTCCTCACTCCCATTTTGATCTTAGAGCTGCAATTAGGGGCTGCAGCTCTGATCTTCTCAAGATGGCACCTAGAATGTCACTGGGCCCCAGTCACCTCCTACATTCTGCATTGTTGGGTTTGGGGGAGTTAGCCAGAGCTCCTGATGCACCCACTTCTCTGAGAGGCAACTGAGGAGTGAACACAGCATCACAGCAGGTTCACCATGAGCCACCTGTTTCTAAACAATCCATTTGGTTGACCCCCTGAACGTCTGCACTCAGTCAAGAGCACACTGATGAATGTCCTACATGGCTCATGAGCTCTATGAATGAGTTTGTGCTGGGAAAACTGGATATTCATATGCAGAATGACATTAGACCCCCACCTCTCTCCATATACAAAAATCAGCTAAAAATGGAAGACATAAATGCAAGACCTGAAACAATAAACCTACTAGAAGAAAACATAGGAAAATACTTCAGGACATTGGTCTAGGAAATTATACGAATAAGACCTCAAAAGCACAAGCAACAAAAACAAAAATAAACAGATGAGTTTATTTCAAACTAAAAAGCTTCTGTCCAGCAAGGAAATAATCAACAGAGTGAAAATACAACCTACAAAATGGGAGAAAATATTTGCAAACTACTTATTCAACTGAGGATTAATAGCCAAGGTATACAAGGAACTCAAACACCTCAATGGCAAAAAAAAAAAAAAAAAAAAATCTAATTTTAAACTGGGAAAATGATCTTGAAGAGATATTTATCAAAAGAAGACATACAAATGGCCAAGAAATATATGAAAAAAGGCTTAACATTACTAATCATTAGAAAAATGCAAATCAAAACCACAATGAGGTATCATCTCATTCCAGTTAGCATGACCATTATCAAAAATACAAAAACTAGCAAATGCTGGTGAGGATGCAGACAAAACAGAACTCTTACACACTATTGGTGGCAATGTAAATTAGTACAGCCATAATAGAGAACCACATGGAGAGTCCTCAAAAAACTACAAATAGAACCACCATATAATCCAGCAATCCCACCACTGGTAATTTTTTATCCAAAGGAAAGGAAATCATGGTATCAAAGAGACATCTGCACCCCCACATTTACTGCAGCACTATTTGCAATAGCCAAGATATGGAATCAACTTTTGTGTCCAACAACAGATAAATTGATTTTTAAAATATGGTATATATCACAAGGGAATACTATTCAGCTATAAAAAAGAATTACTGTTATTCACAGCAATAACGATATGGAACTGGAAGGCATTATGCTAAGTGAAAAAAGCCAGGAACAGAAATTTAAACACCATATATTCTCATTCTCATTCATATGTGGAAGCTAAAAAAAAAATGATCTTATAGAAGTAAAAAAAAGAACACAGGATACTAGAAGCTGGGAAGGGTAGGAGGAAAGGAGGGATAGGGAGATATTTGGTGACAGACACAAAATTGCAGCTAGGTAGGTGGAATAAGTTCTAGTGCTCTATAGCACTGTAGGATGACTATAGTTAATAATAGTATTTTATAGTGTTACAAAGAGCTAAAAGGAGGATATTGAAAGTTTCCAAAACAAAGAAATAATAAATGTTTCAGATGATGAGTATACTAAGTACTCTGACCTGATCACTATACATTGTATGTATCAAAACATCACTCTGTAACCCATGAACATGTACAACTATTATTTGTCAATTAAACAATAAAATTTTAAAAACGCAAGTGGACACTCACTGGGGATTCTGGAATGTTCTAAGCTTTACAGTGAGCATACCTAAGGCACCGCTCAGAAGATTGTTTATGTAACAATTCCAGAACTATAAGTACATTAAATATGTGATGATAAATTGAGTGATGAGAGGCTACACATTTTTAACTGTAGGCATGGAGATTTGCTCTTGAATAATTCAGCTTGAGATCTCCTCTCTCCTCTCAACAGTAGCAATTTGCTGTTGACAAACTCCCTGGACATGCATTATACCCTTGACTCCTACAACATTCCTAAAAATGAAGATGGCAAGTACTATGAAATCCATGTTACAAATGAGTAAGTGGAGATTTGGTGAAATTAAGGGACTTGCTCCCAGTCACGCAGCTGGTAAAGGTTCACAGATCTTGGCTTAGAAATTCAAAGAACAGGGCTCTGGCTCCTCTCCCCAAGATAGACACTGAAACTTTCTGTCCAACCATCTCTCAGTGATGTCCATGATATATTCAACTTTGGTTCATTTTGAATTTTCAGAGTTCTCTTTCCCCATGAAATCACTTTTCTGTTTTATTGCAAACATATGACTGGAAGGTCCTTGGAAAGATAGAGTTTAAAATAGAAACATCTGATGAAAACTGTCGCTTGATTATTACTTCTAAAAGAGCTGAGCTGACAAAATACAAAAAAAAAAAAACACATGTATTTGAAAAACTCATAACAGTGGAAATGGGATGCCTGGTCTCCGCCTGACTTTTGACAGTGACTGTGTCTTGTGTGTGTGTGTCCTGACTTCTGACAGTGACCGTGTTATGTGTGTGTGTGTGTGTGTGTGTATGAGAGAGAGAGAATGTGCGAGAATGTGTATGAGTAAGCTTTTATGATTGTGTGTGTTGTGTGAGTATATAGGAGTGTACTGAGTGTGTATAAAAGTGTGTGAGTATGTGTGCATGTCATGCACATATGTGTGAGTGTGCACAAGTGCGCAATATGTATACATGTAAGTATTTTTGTGAGTGCATTGTGTGCATGTGTGAGCATGCATATGACTGTGCATATGTATGTTCTGAGCAAATGTGTGTGTTGGTATGTGTAAGTGTTTGAGTTTGTGTGAGAGTGTGTGAGTTTATACTTGTGAATGTGTGTGAGTGTATGTGTAAGTATGTGTGTGTTAGATTTGTATATGTATGTGTGTGTGAGAGCAAATTTGTGAATGTGAATGTGTGTGAACGAGTGTGCATGTATGAATGTGTATGTATATGCGAAAGAGTATGTATATTTGTGTGAGTGTCTCTGTGTGTTTGTGTGAACTGTGTATATGTATACACATTTGCACACCTGGGTAGCATCCGGCAAATGATACTTACAATCAGGAGTCTTCCTGCCGTTTATCCAGTGTATCTACGTAAGAAACAACTAACTCGAGCACTTTTCAGCACATTATTTCATACACCCTCTACCATTTAAGTCTACGAAAGAAAATGTCACTATGCCTGGTGGCCATGAGGCACCACAAACTAGCACACTTCAAAGAAAGTCTAAAATAGACTCAGACTTACGTGAAAAATGACCTGGGGCAGTTTCATTTCAAAGCATCCCTAATTAACTAATTAGTGAATTAGATAATTCATCAGAATAGCAAAAGTTATTTCTCCCTTAGGGCTTCAGAATTTCTCTTAAACCAGGCACACAGGCATACACACAGGCACAAGCACACATGCACACATGGTTTGCTGGTCAAATCCTGGGTGCTAAGCATAGATAACCACTTTCTATTGTGAACAATACTGACTACCTCTCTTCTCTGGTTTCTGCTGCCTCCAGTTCTTTCTTTGGTGACCAAGTAGGCTTCATTTTTTCAGAGAAAAACCATGATTCCTTTTGAAGCAGTCACAGGTCTTCCCCCCCTTACTTCAAGACACCCCAAAAGGTAACCATGGGGCCTCAGAAGCCTGAAGGCTGAAGATGTCAAGTGCATGGGTTTATAGGGCACCAACATTGGTGGGGGCACCTAAGCCCTGCCTGTATTCACACTAGGTGACATGGCCTTGCCACCATCTCCAGCAAGTATAAAGGGAAATTCTTGACTACCCAGAAATTCAGTGGCCAAATGTTGGATCTTCCAATGAGCAAACTGCTTCACAGAACATAGAGGATGCGTACCCTCAAATTGAACACAGAGCTGCTGGGATTGTGCAAAGCACGAGATTGTGGTCAGAAGACCTGGGTGTTAAGAACCTCTTTTACCTGGTAAAAATGTGGGCACCTGGGCAAGCCACAACTGCTCCAGGCCCAGGTCTCTTCACCCCTAAGATAAAAGAGTCAATAATACCTAAGGTCCTTTAAGGATATAATGTACGGGATTACACAAGTAAATAGGAATTACAATAATTCATGTTAAAATATATATATATATACACACACACACACACACACTATGTTAGGAAGAGGAAACATTCTGTAAAGGAAAATTAAAGCAACTAAGAACAAAATCTTAAATTTTGACAACATTTCTGCGTTTAGATCATCATCCCAAATTTCTAAAAATGTCAAGTGATCAGGAAAGAGAGTTTGCAGGAAGTAAAAGCAAAGGAGTCCTATGGGGAGTTACTGTAAAAACACGATTTAAGTGGTCCATCTCTGTTGCCCAGAGCCCTGTGGGGTGGTGAGGACCACATGGTAGTGCAAGAGGCAGAAAACATGGAGTGTTGGGGTTTGTGAGTCAAGAATAAAGGGGAAGTGAGCAAATTTCTGGTGGAGTCTCTCTCTGTGGAATGTGAGAATCCTTTCTGGCACTCTGGCAAAATGCTGACTTACACCAGGAATTGTGTATGCTCCTTGGGGCCTTAATAAAAAAGAAAAGCAGATGCTGGAGGGGCTGGTTATCATATGGATCTTGGCAGGCATATGGAATTTAACAGCTAAATAGAGAACTCAACAGTTTAAAATGGATATGGCTCTCACCAGCAGGCTTCCATATTAGGCACACACACACACACACACACACACACACACTCTCTCTCTCTCTCTCTCTCTCTCTCTTTCTCTCTCTCTCTCCAAAAGGACGCAAAAGGAGAAATTTCAGCCAGGCATGGTGCCTCACGCCTGTAATCCCAGCACTTTGGGAAGCCGAGGCGAGTGGATCACTTGAGGTCAGGAGGTTGAGACCAGCCTGGCCTACATGGTGAAACTCTGTCTCTACTAAAAATACAAAATTAGCTGGACGTGGTGGCGGGCACCTATAATCCCAACTACTCAGGAGGCTGAGGCAGTAGAATCATGTGAACCCAGGAGGCGGAGGCTGCAGTGAGCCAAGATCATGCCACTGTACTCCAGACTGGGTGACAGAGTGAGACTCTGTCTCAAAAGAAAAAAAAAAAGGGAAATTTCAAAGTATGTCTAACCACAAGGTTAGAACCCACCTTGTGCCCCCTGGGCTTCCTTCTCACCTTCATGAAATTCCTCACCAATTTCTGTTAATGGCGCCTTCTTAGTTTCCAACACTTGAAACCCATATGGCCACACCTATTCACTGACTCCTGCAGCCATGATTCTTACTTCTAGACTCTCTTTAATTTAGTTCCTTTCTCTGCTGCAAAGAGATCCTTGTAAAATACACACCAGAGAGTCTGTCTGCCAGATTAAAATCCCTAATGTCTCCCTGTGTCTGGCACTGGTTCTCCAGCTTAGGTGCACCTTGGAATCACTAGCTGAATTACAGAAAGTATTTACATCTCAGTCCCACTTGGAGATTCTGATTGAATTAGTGTGGGTGTGACCTGGCAGCTGAGGGTGTGGGTATAAAAGTGACCAGGTTATTCTAACATGCAACAAAGTGGGAGGACCCCAGGTCTCCAGTATTCTAAGGGCTTTACCCTCTGCCTGCTACTCAGCCTCATATTCCACACCTCCAACCCTGGGAGTAGCCAGAGTATTCCATATTTTTAAGGTTTCTGTTTTTGTCTATACCGTTCCCTATTTATAGATACAAATATAAATATAGATTATACAGATATAGATAGATGCAATATGCATCATTTATAATAGCAAAAATCTACACAAAGCCTAAATGTCCAAAAAGAGGACACACTAGCCTATTGTAATATCTCCAACTTGTTGACCATTCTATCCATGTTTTGCAACTCGCTTCAGATGCAAATACTTCAGGGTGGAAGCTCTGAAACATTTGTGGCAGAATCAGATGCTTTTCCTCCCAACACTGCTCAAATATATTTATGCATTTCTTATAGAACTTGCCATGTTCTGCCAAAATGTGTTTGGCTCCTCCCCACATAGGACCATAAGCTTTTTGGAAAAAGAACTACATCTTAGTAAGTCATGTGCCAGCATATATGATCAGAATGCCTTTTACAAAACAGAAGATTTGTCATTGCTTGTGGGATAAATGAGCAAATTAAAACCTACTCCTCCCGGGTTCAAGTGATTCTCCTTTCTCAGCCTCCCAAGTAGCTGGGATTACAGGCATGTGCCACCATACCCTCTGGTATTGTATTTGTAAATACAAAATTACATACCCAGCTAATTTTGTATTTTTAGTAGAGACAAGGGTTTCTCCATGTTGGTCAGGCTGGTCTTGAACTCCCAACCTCAGGTGATCCACCCTCCTCAGCCTCCCCAAATCCTGGGATTACAGGTGTGAGCCACCGCACCTGCCCAATCCCCACACTTTCAAACACAGAAGCTGAGGGTCTGAGAGATGTAGTGACTCACGAGGTGTCAGCACCATCCCCTGAGCCTTGCCCAGCCCCTTCCTTCTGTTCTAGGAGTGGGGCATTCACACTTTTTATTGCACAGGAGACACTGATGGATGAGAGCCTGCATCCATCCTCAGAGGGGATGAGGGATGGTCCTAGAGCCCATGAGGTGAGAGGTGAGGGCAGTCCTGCCAAGGTCACGGGGCAAAGGTCACCCACTGCTCATTGTCGTGCTTTTCCCTGTCACACACCTTCTGTCAAAAACTAGTTATCTAAGACTATAAAAACTCTGGAAGAGGCCGGGCTGTAATCCCAACACTTTGGAAGACCAAGGCAGGAAGATCACTTGAGCCCAGGAGTTTGAGATCAGTCTGGGCAACAGAGTGAGACCTTGTCTCTACAAATAATCAAAAATTAGCCTGGTGTGGTGATGTACACCTGTAATTCCCAGTTACTCAGAAGGCTGAGGCAGGAGAATTTCTTGAGCCCAGGAAGTTGTGGCTGCAGTGAGCCATGATCATGCCACAGCACTCAGCTTGGGCAACAGAGCAAGACCCTGTCTCAAAATACAAACAAACAAACTCCGGAAGACAACCTAGGTAATACCATTCAGGACACAGGCACAATCAAAGAGTTCATGATGAAGATCCCAAAAGCAATTGCAACAAAAGCAAAAATTGACAAGTGGGATCTAATTAAACTAAAAAGCTTCTGCACAGCAAAATAAACTATCGACAAAGTAAACAGACAACCTACAAAATGGGAGAAAATTCTTGGAAACTATGCATCCAACAAAGATCTAATATTTACCATCTATAAGGAACTTAACAAATTTACAAGCAAAAACGAACAACTTCATTTTTAAAAAGTGGGCAAAGGACATGAACAGACACTTTTCAAAAGACATACATATGACAAACAATCATAAGAAGAAAAACTCAATATCACTGATCGTTAGGGAAATGCAAATCAAAACCACAATGAGACAACATCTCACACCAGTCAGAATGGCTATTATTTAAAAAGTCAAAAAATAACAGACACTGACAAGGTTATGGAGAAAAAGAAACACTTATACTCTGTTCGTGGGAGTGTAAATTAGTTCAACCATTGTGGAAGACAGTGTGGTGATTCCACAAAGACCTAAAGAGAGAAATACCATTTGACCCAGCAATCCCATTACTGGACATATACCCAAAGGAATATAAATCATTCTATTATAAAGATACATGCACGGATATGTTCATTGCAGCACTATTCACAATAGCAAAGACACGGAATCAACCTAAATCCCATCAGTGATAGACTGGATAAAAAAAATGTAGCATATACACCATGGAATACTATGCAGCTGTAAAAAAGAATGAGATAATGTCCCTTGCAGGAACATGGATGGAGCCGGAGGCCGTTGTCTTTAGCAAACTAACACAGAAACAGAAAAATATATACCATATGTTCTCACTTTTAAGTGGGAGCTAAATGATGAGAACACGTGGACACACAGAGGGGAACAACACACACTGGGGCCTTTTGGAGGTTGGGGGTGGGAGCAGCGAAAAGATCAGGAAAAATAACTAATGGGTATTAGGCTTAATACCAGGGTGTTGAAATAAACTGTACAACAAACTCCCATGACACACGTTTACCCATGTAAACCTGCACTTGCACTCCTGAACTTAAAATAAATGTTTGAAAAAGAGGAGCCCATGGGTTCAGGAAGCAAAAATATGTACAAGATAAAATAAAGGAGAAGAATTGCTCTGTTTTCATAGGAGTGCTAATTTCCAGGAGAAGGCACAACACAGAATTTTTCCTAAAACATAGCCCTGTGAAATGCAGCAAACAACTGCCAACCGCAGTGCGGTCTGAGTTCCCCAGATCTCCCTCAAAAGAGGTTTTTTTGAGCAAAAATAAATATTGAAGCAAATGTGGTAATGCTTGCATTGAAGGACTTCTCCAAGAGCACTATTTTTGCACCTTGATTTCTTTGTTCTAGCCATGACATTTCTGATGTGGGTATTTATGTACGTTCTCAATGTAAGGGCTAAACATTTCAAAGACTGCTAAATCAATTCCAGAAAGCCCATGCAGTTGCCTTGAAAATGAGATCAGGTTTTTGATACTATTTCAAGCTGTTTTATAGGAAATTTATTGTTCATCACAGTTCGACATGCCACGTTTCCATTTATATTTTAAGCTAAAGTAGCTTTTTTCCTCAAAACTCCATAAGCAAATCACCAAATTTTAAAACGTGTTTTGTGTCAAATATGCTGACAACCACAATATAATTTGATGCAGTGATTAAAGGGTATGAAATAAAAATAACATCTCAAGATTATTTGTAGAAAATGTTTAAGTACATAACAGGTTCCTTTGATAGGTGGCCAATAACTAGACTTCAAAATTTTAGTTTCATAAAAGCCTTTCTTTAAATTTAGTAATCAATGATTTATACTTAGTTTACTGACTAAATTAAAAAAACGCTCTAAAAATGGAATACTCGCAGCTGACAAGGGTATGGTGGAAGTGGCACTTCATACATTGCAGAGTGGATGGCAGGGTAAATTGGCACCAACTACCCTGAAAGCAACTGGGCAATAACTCTGAAGGATGACACAATTTAACCATCTTCTGGGGCTCTATTCTAAGACAAGCAAAATGTGGAAAATGTATATGCACAAAGATGTTTACTCACAACATTATGGTTAATGTAGAAGAATCTGTAGTAAAAGCAACTTAAGAACCTAATATAAAATTACTTAGAATGATGATTATAAGACTATATACCTCAGGAAAACACTTATTTATTCAAGAACAGCTTTGACTTTATGTATAGCCAAGACAAAATAAAAATCCTTGTTTCACTTTGCAAGGAAACGATCTCCCTGTCTTTCTGCCAATTCAGCGTGTCTCTAGAGGGTAGTCCACTTCTGAGCGCCCTCTGCAGGGCACCGCCTCATGTTACAGTGGAAACTGGCTCTGCTTTGAGGAAGCTCAGTAGGTCTTGGAGATGGGAATGGGGCAGGGCCTGCAGTGGTGGAAGCAGGAGATGTGCCCTGAGCACCTGGGACCTCCTGATTTAAGGACAGGGAGGAGGAAGATCTGATGCAGGCCCAGGTCTATGACAAAAGAGAGGGTATGAGGAGCACACTGGCCCAACCTCAGAGGCTGCATCTAAGCTCTCAGGTGCACTCAGAGTGTTGGGGTGGGCCCCAAGCCAGGGAAGGATGTGCCCTAGAGCCAGTGTTAGGCTCCCAAGCACATAGGAGGACAAGCAGCACTTAGCAAGGACCTTCCCAGCACCAGGAACCAGGTCTGTCGGCAGCAGGCCCTTGAAGGCCTCTAGCTCCATCCATGTTCCTGTAAAGGACATGATCTCATTCTTTTTTATGGCTGCATAGTATTCCATGGTGTATATGTACCACATTTTCTTTATCCAGTCTATCACTGATGGGCATTTAGGTTGATTCCATGTCTTTGATATTGTGAATAATGCTGCAATGAACATGTCCTTGAGGAGAGGAGGAAGCACAAACGGGTGTTCTGACTCTCCTGGCTCACACAGATGCAGGCCAGGTGAGGCAGAGCCCATGGAAGCAGGTAGTGAGCTGGCACACGGTGGAGTTGGGGCATACCACAGGAGGGCTGCCGGGACTGCGTGCCATGGGCTCATGTCTTATTGATCACAGTGAATATGACTGTGGTGGTGACATTCACAGCAGGGCACCAGCCTCCCTGGGCCTGTCCCTTACACGAAGCCTGGGCTGGGGACCCTCCAGGCCAGGTCCTTGCCTGCAGTGCCAGTGGCCAGCAGCAGGGACAAGCCCACCTGTATTCTGAAGAGGCTTGAATCTGCAAGCTGTGACAACCTTCGTAACGTTCACAACTTGATTCCCATCACAGCGTTGGTAAGGTTCTATCCTAGGATACTTCCTGAGCAAAGAAAAAGAAAACATTTACATGCATAATAGTGAACGATTGAAAAAGCATAAATGTTCCACATAAGAGGAAAGGTTCAACCCACTGTAGTCCATATAACAATGTGCCGCTGTTACATGGCAGGCAAAATATATTCTAGCAAATATTTTATAATAATGTGAAAAATGAATAATACCATGTATTTGTAGAAAATTAGAATATAGATTATATATGTGATAAAACATATAGAAATGTGTTTTACATAATTTTAACTAACTATATAGTTCACATTTGTAGATAAATGTGGAATAAAACTATATAGATATATAAATAACTATTCCAAAACATTCATAGCAGAGATACTAGAAGAAGGTTCACCAAAAGGTACTTATTTATGAGTTATTTACGAGTTACTACTAGAGTAATTTTTAAGCTACATATTTTTTAAAAAGAGGAAGAAAGTGATAAATAACCGGCTTGCAATTCCTCTTTTCCCTGGTAGAAATGAAGCAAGCAGCATTAAACACAAGCAAATTTTAAAAACCCCACCTGGCTCCATTCCAGCACTTGGTTTCCATCTCATCTCCTGCAGCTCCGTGGCCTGGCCAGACCCACCTCAGATGCCACTGGCTCCTCTTTTGCTCATGGTCTCTGTGCCCAGGCTCAGCTCTGTGCCCCAAGCCTGACACCCCTTGAGTGTGGACCCTGCAGTCCACAGCCTCTAGACAGGTCACTCAGCTACCACCAATAACTCAGAGCCTCCTTAGGACCTAACAAGTGTGTCTCTTATGAATAAAATTACCTATTTCTGGCTGGGCACAGTGGTTCATACCTGTAATCCCAGGACTTTCGGAAGCTGAGGCGGGTGGATCACCTGAGGTCAGGTGTTCGAGACCAGCTTGGCCAACATGGTGAAATCCCATCTCCACTAAAAATACAAAAATTAGCCGGATGTGGTGGCACATGCCTGTAGACCCATCTACTTGGGAGGCTGAGGCAAGACAATTGCTTGAACCCGGGAGGCAGAGGTTGCAGTGAGCCGAGATTGCTCCATAGCACTCCAGCGTGGGCAACAGAGTGAGACTCCATCTCAAAAAAAAAAAAATTACCTATTTCTGCTACACATAAATAAAGGTGTGGGTTTTTCTTGGTTTTTTTTTTTGGCTTTTTTTTTTGAGATGGAGTCTCACTCTGTCTGTCACCCAGGCTGGAGTGCAGTGACCCAATCTCGGCTCACTGCAAGATCCACCTCCCGGGTTCACACCATTCTCCTGCCTCAGCCTCCCGAGTAGCTGGGACTACAGGCGTCTACCACCACGCCCGGCTAATTTTTTGTATTTTTAGTACAGATGGGGCTTCACCGTGTTAGCCAGGATGGTCTTGATCTCCTGACCTCGTGATCTGCCTGCCTCGGCCTCCCAAAGTGCTGGGATTACAGGTGCGAGCCACCGTGCCCAGCCAAACATAGGTATTTAATTCAAATTTTGGTGAGATACATTCTCGTCAAATATTTAATAGGTGTTAACCCTGTTAAATATTCGGAAGCAATTATAAAAATAATATTGTGCACCTACCATTTTAAAATTCAGCACACATTTTACATCTATTAAAATGCACAGGTATTGATAACAGCAATAGCTACTGACGTGAACTGAGTACCTCACCTGTGCCCATACTGAGGGTTAGGGCAGGGATTCCCTCATCCTCATGCTCCCCATGAACTGCGCGCTGCCCACGACTGAGGCTCAGGGCTGCGGGCTTGCGTGCATTCACTCACACAGCCTCCAAACAACCCCAGCAACCTCTGATGCCAGGATCGCTGAGATGCCGGAGGGCTGGTCTTTACCAGGGTCATACCTCTGATGAGGGAGGACCAGGACTAAACACAAGCAGGTTGCCTCCCGAGCTTCACCAATGGGCCACACCACTCCACAGAGCCCTCAGTGGAAGGAGTTTCTGCTCTCCTGCCTGCAGGGTTGTGTGGTGGGTGGAGCGAGTATCCATCTTCCTCATCTTGGTCACGCCCCTAGAGGAAGAGCAGCAGCCAATGAGATTGATGAGCCCATGACACCCACAGGCCACGGCTGCTACCTCTGTGGACAGCCTCAGTCAGAGGTCGCTCCTTAACCGGGGTGCCCTGGGGATCAGGGTGTGCTTTCTCCCTCTTGTCTCCCCACGCGGAAGGGGAGAGGGCAGCAGAAGGAAGCCCACCCTCTCCTACATCTGCCCACAGCCGAGACCCCGCATCCAGGGAAAGGGGCTGTAGGACTTTACTCTGCCTCTTGCTCACACCTCTGGTTGGAGGAGGGAGGGAGCCTAGATCCCTGGGAGCCTACCGGCAGCAGTCAGGAGCTCTGCCTCCCTCCCCCAGCACTCTGCCGTGTGAACACTGCCAGCTCCACTGTCAGGATGAAGCAATGGAGACCCAGAGTGAAAAATCATGCTGAGCACATGGCAGATCAACCTGGGTCCTCATGACTCCAATGCCTTTGATACACATTTACCCTCTGGAATAACAGAATTATAAAACCTAACACAATTTGCTATAAATAGATTAATTTTTCCCCTTTCTCCTGATAGACAAGACTATTGATAATAAGTCATTTTTAAAACCAATAAAAATTTTTATCTTTAAAATATATTCTAAAAATTGAATTAAAACCAAAACAAATCTTTAAGAAAAATCAGTATTTTCTTTTCTGGAATCTCCTGGCTACTCCCACATATCACCTCCAATTGCACACACAGACTCAGATTCTTTTGTTTTGTTTTTGTTTTTGTTTTTGTTTTTGTTTTTGAGCCGGGGTCTCACTCTATGGCTCAGGCTGGAGTGCAGTGGCATGATCATGGCTCACCGCAGTCTCCATTTTCTGGGCTCAGGTGATTCTCCCTCCTCAGTCTTCTGAGTAGCTGGGAGTACAGGCACACACAACCATGCCCTGCTAATTTTTTTTTTTTTTTAGACACAGCGTCTCACTATGTTGCCCAGACTGGTCTCAAACTCCTGGTCTCAAGTGATCCACCCACCTTGGCCTCCCAAAGTGCTAGGATTACAGGCATGAGCCACTGCTCATGGCCTCAGATTCATTTATGTGAAGTTCAGCTCAGAGACCTAAGGTACAGCGTACAGTCTTGGAGCCTCATGGAACACATCCTCTTTCAATATCAAATTAAGGCTGTGGAGCTCACGTTCACCTGAACAGTTTATTTCACGGTGCTAAATTTCTATCTGTGTTACAAAACCTTGCAATTATTAAATTACCTGCTCTAATTTTGTTGAAGTAAAATAAATCCACATCATTTTTAGCCTGTGCCAACCTTTCAGTTGTTTTAAAATCCTGCACTTAAACGTTCATTTCTACTTTTCTCTAAAAGAAAACAATTGCGAATGTCTTTTATGAAGAATTCAGCTCAATATTTCAAATAAAAATATAAAATTTCCCCATTTAATTATTTTAGAAATTGCATTGTGATAAAAAAGCTAATGATTTGGGCAGAGACTTTAAAATTATAAGTAATGTTTATGCATGAATAGTGATGTATGATTTAAAAAATTATAACTCTAACAAGAAACATTTAACTTTGAATATGCCTCTATTTTCTTTTCTTATTCATATTCTTTTATCAAACACATGCATTGAACACCTCCTACATCGAGAACAAATAAAAATGAACTAGACTTATTTCTAGACTCCAGAACATTCACTGGCTAGTTCTTCCTTTCCTAGAGAATGTAGGAGCCTCATTCTACCAGGAGAAGGAGAGGGATGCTTGCATTGAAATAGACATTTGCTGAGTCTTATAAACCGAATGAGGAAGCATCCCCGGCAATTGTGTACAAAGATGTGTGAGCATTGCTAGTCTGGGAACATAATGAGTGTGTCATTTCTGCATAGTGGGTGGGTGCAGAGTGGCTGAAGCTGGAGCAGAGGCGGAAAGGTGGTGGCTCTCTAAGGCCATGAATCTCCTACGGAGGATGTGGCCAGACCATCAGCTCCCTCCCTCCAGCTCTCCTGCAACGACCCTGGACGTTTTTGCACCCTGTGGCTGACAGGGTGAGCAGTGCTCACACAGCTGGTATTGTGACTGCTGCCGGGTTTGTCTACTCTTTGGCTCCCTAATTCATTTCCTGCTGAAGCCACCTGATACACAACATCTCTTTGCTGAGGCTACTGTTTCAGGTTTATTGAATTCTAGGGAGTCTAAGAAGGGTCCTCATTCCAGAAATGCCCTATGAACTCGTGATTCTCTAGTAGACATCAGTTTGTTATAACTCTACGGCCTGATCTCCCATCATGCTTCATGGTTCGCTAACCATGAACTCTGTGTTTCATGCCTTCCATGAACCAGACACAGGCTCTTTTGGGCAGCCCCATAGCTCCACCACTCCGATGGTAGACGTTAGCAAGTTGCCCTGTGTTGTGTGAAAATTGCATGACTGAGTCACCAAAGGAATGGCCAGAGGAATATGAAAGTTCCCAGGGAAATTTCAGACCACATGAAGACCCTTGCCACTTTTAGGCCCCTAAATACGGACCTATCTTTTTAGCCTATTAATTTTATTTAAATATTTCGAAGAAAGGCATATTTTTCTTCTTTATTGAAATATAACATGTAACAGAAAACAATAGCCTTTCTAGACTATCAGCAGCACCCCAAAAGGCCTCTCCACAGCCCCTCCCTGTCATTAGCTCCATGTTCCCAAAGAGAACCACCCTCCTGACTTCTAGCACCACACATTGCCTTACTGCTTTCTGAGCTTTCTACAAAATGAATCAATATGTTTTTTTTGATGTCTGGCTTCCTTCCTCAGCATCATATGAGGTTCAACCATGTGGTTCAACCTTACAAGTAGACCAGAAGTTACTTATTAATCCTCCATATGAAGATGGCTTCTTTCCAATTTTTGACTGTAAACATTCCATCCATGTCTTTTGTTGAACATATGCACACATCTCTGTGCTTATATACCTAGCAGTGGAACTTCTGGCCCGTAGGGTATACAAATACCCCATTTAAGTAGATGTTTCCAAGCAATTTTCCAGTGTGTTCCTGCTAATTTACACTCCCACCAGCCATACAGGAGAGTTCCAGTTGCTCCACATCTCCATCAATGCTTAGTTTTTTTTTTCATCTTTTTTATTTTGGTATTCTGGTTTTGTGAATGGATTCCACATTTTACTTTAATTATGAATTTTTTGATAAATTATAAAGGATTCATATCATGTGCTTATTGAATATTTGAATATCCTCTTATATAAAATGTGTACTTGTCTATTCTCTAGTTTTCTATTTATGTGTCTTCCTTATTAATTTGCAGATATACTTTATATATTTTGAATATAAACCATTTATTGTACCTCTTCACTTACTTATAGATGTCTTTTGGTACACAAACATTCTTAATTTTAATGTACTCAATTTTTATATTTTTATCATTTATACGTAGCAAAATGTATTTATCAAGAAATTTTTCCTTGCCCAAAGAACATGAAGATACTTTGCTATATTGCCTTCTAGAAGCCTTTATTTTTAACCATTCACATAGACCTGCAGTCCACCTGGAATTTATTTTCATGTAATGTAAGAAGAGAGTTTCCTTATTTTCAATGTGGATATAAAATTGAATCTAGTTCTTTGTTTTTTGTTTTTTAAAAGAAAAACATGTTTTTCTCCACTGTTCTTTAGGCTCACTTTTGTTATAAACAACAAAAAGCATCTGCAAAACAAAACACACACACACATTCTTATGTATGTGCATTTTGTCTTTTCTGCTGTAATATCAGGAATGCAACATTGCTGAAACTACTGCAACTGTATGTTGTAAATCTGCATGTTTATGGAGTAAGTCCTCCTGATGCGCTGGCTCTTTTTAATATTCTCTTGACAGCTCTAGGCCTTGTGTATTTCTATTCAAATTATAAAATCATTTTGTCAGTTTATACCCCAAAAAGACCTACTGAGATATTGAATCTGCATATCAACTTGTGGATAACTTCAAAATATTCCAATATTTCAATCTTTAAAATAATCCAATTCATAAATATAGACCATCCCTATTTTGTTTAGTATGCATTAGTTAATAGCAATCACATTTTATAGTTTTCTGTGTAGAGACATTTATATCACCGATTTTTTTCCTGGGAAAGTGGTATGTTTATGGTGTTATGTAGGTTATCTAAATTTTAATTTGTCTTTTTGTAGTTGATTTTCTTATATTGACTTCTATCCAGTGATGTGAAGCAAATATTCCTAAGTTCACTTATTAATTCTCATAATTTACCTGAAGATTCCTCTAGAGTTTCTATGTCCATAATTGTGTTATCTCAGAATAAGAATTGCTTTGTTTCTTCCTTTTCAATCCATGCACCTATCGTTTCTTTTACTTGCCTTACTACAGTTGTTAGAGGCCCCAGTAAAATGTTGAGAAGTTCAGTGCTAGAAGGCAGCCTTGTCTCCCTCCCTGTACCCAAGGGAAAGCTTTGAACATTTCACCAGTAACTTTGATGGTTGCTGTAAAATTTTTGTAAGCTTCTTTTATCAAATAAAGTTTCATTTTTTCTCTAGTTTCTAAGATTTTTATCATAAACAATTATTGAATTTTATGAAAATTTTTTCTCCATTGATAAAAATGATAATACATAATTCCTCCTTTATTACGTTAATATGGTGAATCACTGATTTTCTAATATAGAATTGTCTTTTATTGTAATGAATCAAACGGGTATGGCGTATTAACTACATCGGTAGTTATCAATGTTTTCTTTATGAAAATCGCCTCAAATTACCTAATTTGAATCTACAATCCATTTCCAAGTATTCAACAAGACTGCAGCATTTTTCATTTTTTTACTTGCAATCTTAGAAGAAAGCAGCATATAGTTAGGTTTCATCTAAGCATAGATAGGCATTTTAAAGATTTAGAGTATTTATAATTAGTGTGTTTACTGATATGGTTGATTTTACATCTGCCATCTTACTATTTGCTTTATATTACTATTTCCACCCACTCTGTCTTACTTTCAGTTTCTCTTCTTGCCTTATTTTGAATTGATGGAGTGGTTTTTATCCCATTTTCACCTCTACTATTTTTGTAATTAGATATCCTTTTCTATCTTTTTAGTGGTTACCCTAGAGATTGTAGCAGGTATTCTTGACTTGGTAAAAGTCTCATAGTAATTTGTACCTCACCACTTGCCAGATAGTGCAAGAGACCTTTGCACAATTTAAGGACATTTATCATCTCCTGACATCTTTTTTTTCCATAGGTTTTTTGGGGAACAGATGGTGTTTGGTTACATGAGTAAGCTTTTTAGTGGTGATTTGTGAGATTCTGGTGCTCCCATCACCCAAGCAGTATACACTGTACCCAATGTGTAGCCTTTTATCCCTCACCACACCCCCCCAGTCACCCTTTCCCCCAAGTCCCCAAAGTCCATTGTATCATTCCTATGCCTTTTCATCCTCATAGCTTAGCTCCCATTTATGAGTGACCATGGAATACTATTCAGCCATAAAAATGAACACGTTCACAGCAACCTCTCCTGACTTCTATGTCATTGTTGAAGAGAAATTTACTTCCTGTCTGTAACTTTTTAACTTTAAAAATAATTTCAGGCCGGGCGCGGTGGCTCACGCCTGTAATCCCAGCACTTTGGGAGGCCGAGGCGGGCGGATCACGAGGTCAGGAGATCGAGACCATCCCGGCTAAAACGGTGAAACCCCGTCTCTACTAAAAATACAAAAAATTAGCCGGGCGTAGTGGCGGGCGCCTGTAGTCCCAGCTACTTGGGAGGCTGAGGCAGGAGAATGGCGTGAACCCGGGAGGCGGAGCTTGCAGTGAGCCGAGATCGCGCCACTGCACTCCAGCCTGGGCGACAGAGCGAGACTCCGTCTCAAAAAAAAAAAAAAAAAAAAAAAAAATTTCAAACATACATACTAAAAAGTTGCATACTAGTACAGAGAAATATTGTATTCCTTTTACTTTAAACATTTTTGCCACATTAGTTTTATCATTATTTGTTTCCTTGTCTTTGTAGATATTTTTTCATGAGCAATTTAAAGGTACTTGCATTCATTATGCCCCTCAACTCAATACCTCAGTATATATTTTTAATGAGGATGTTTTCTTACATAGCTAAAATAAAGTTTACAAATTCAGGAAATTTATCACAGATATACAATTTTAAATAATCTACATTTAATATTTTAATATTGTCAATTATCCTTTATAGCATATTTTCCCCCACCACAGGATTCAGTCTGCAATGCCATATCCCATTTATCTTTTGTCTTTGGTCTTCTTTAATCTAGAATAGTTTCTTGTCATAAGATTGACAATTTGAACAATACAGATAAGATATTTCATATCTTCTCAGGGTATCCTGATCCAAAGATGCATGATATCCATCTGCCCTTGGCCAATTTTGAGCAATTTATAATGAGAACTCTGACTCCCAAAAATATTAACACTTGTAATCATTTGCTCTAATCTACATTAAAATAGTTTCAGAATTGCTATAAACACGTCATGCAAAACATAAACCTACTACTGAGAGCGCAAGATTTGATTAAAGGTTTTATTCTGAAGAATACAGTCTTGTAATCAAACTACCATCTTTGAGTTATTTGCAATTGATGTTTCTCCTTTACTGAGATTATGAAGTAGAGTTGCATTCATTTATTTCTATTTGCATTCATTTTTATTTTTTCTTAAAATTGTCAATTTAATGTACTTTTGGAATATATGGAATATTAACATATTTCCCAAACTCAAAACTCGATGACATACCTAGAAAATTAACTCTACTCTGGCCCTTCAACACCATTGATCCTACATCTTTTAATAATCAATTGTCTTGTTTTCTGGTTTATCCTTCCAGTGTTTTGTTAAAATTGGAATATATCGTATATTTTATAATTTCTCTCTCTTTCTTTACAAAGGTAGCATACTATATGTAGTCTTTGACACTTTGCCTATTTTAATTAACAGTATCTCTCAGAAAACACTATGAAGTCATTCATAGAGATCATTCTTATTCTCTTATCCAACTGCGTATTTTTCTTTTTGTGTAAGTGCCATTTTTTAGCTACTCTTCTATATTTGGACATTTAGGTAATTTCCAGTATTTTGCAATACAAGCAATGCTTTTAATAATCTGTTCATATGTACTTTTGTATTGTTAAAGGTATGTTTTTAGGGTGCATTTCTAGAAATCGGAGTGCTGGATCAAAGGATAAATACATATTTTTTCTTTTTTACATATTGCCAAATCCCCCTCCATAAGCGTTGTTCACTTAGCTTTTCCACCAGTAAAGTATAAGAGTACCCACTTCACTAGAGACTTGCTAACAATTTATTGTCAAGCTTTTGAAATCTTGCCTATCTGTGCAGTTGTGCATTGGTATTGTTATAATGTACATTTCTCTTAATATGCATGAAGTTTGAGCATCTTCTCATGTTTTAAAAAATCTAGTTTTACATCAACTGTATATATACATATACATATATATGTATATCTATATAACTATAGATATATATGTATGTATGTATATGTATGGATCTATATATCTATAGATATATATGTATATCTATATATCTATAGATATATATGTATATCTATATATCTATAGATATATATGTATATCTATATATCTATAGATATATATGTATATCTATATATCTATAGATATATATGTATATCTATATATCTATAGATATATATGTATATCTATATATCTATAGATATATATGTATATCTATATATCTATAGAGATATGTATATCTATATATCTATAGAGAGATGTGTATATCTATATATCTATAGAGAGATGTGTATATCTATATATCTATAGAGAGATGTGTATATCTATATATCTATAGAGAGATGTGTATATCTATATATCTATAGAGAGATGTGTATATCTATATATCTATAGAGAGATGTGTATATCTATATATCTATAGAGAGATGTGTATATCTATATATCTATAGAGAGATGTGTATATCTATATATCTATAGAGAGATGTGTATATCTATATATCTATAGAGAGATGTGTATATCTATATATCTATAGAGAGATGTGTATATCTATATATCTATAGAGAGATGTGTATATCTATATATCTATAGAGAGATGTGTATATCTATATATCTATAGAGAGATGTGTATATCTATATATCTATAGAGAGATGTGTATATCTATATATCTATAGAGATATGTGTATATCTATATATCTATAGAGATATGTGTATATCTATATATACATATATACATATAAATATATATGTGTATATATACACACACACACACACACACACACACACATACAAGACTATCCAGGCCTGATGTTTTTATGCAAAATATTCCTTGATAATTTTCTCTAGTTTACTGTGGAGATAGGCCTGTTTAAACATTCCATTACTGTTGGAATTGATTTTGGTAAACTCTGTTTTCCAAAAAATGATCAAATTCACCAAAATTTCCAATTGTACTTGCATAGATGCAAGCAAAGTAGTCTCTTGTGATGTGATATATATATATATATATCTTGCCCATTTTATAGGACTTTTAGATTTTTTTCACAATTTTAAAATGTCCTTTATACATCAGGGATATTAGTTTCCTTATCTGTGATATATATTATAAAGATTGATTCAAGAGTATTCTTGATATCATTTGCCATGAACACATTTTTCTTTGTAAGAAGTCAAATTAATTAAACCCTCACTGTTCTGTTGCCTGTGGGTTAAGTTATTGATAGAAAGTCTTTCCCTATGCTGAGGTTTTGAAGTTTTTCACACATTATTTTCTTTTATTGTATCTTTTCACTCATATTATTATCTCTGAAACTTTTGGAGTTCATCTCATATGTATAGAATGAAGAATGGATATAATTTTATCTGTTTCCTAATGACTGTCCTACTGGCCCAGCACCATTAATGAAGTGGTTCAATTTTGTCCAGTAATTTGACATGCCACAATTGTCACATTCTGAATGTCCATGTGTAATTGGACCAGTGTCTACAGTTTTCAGTCTTACCCACCAGTCTGCCACTCTGCATGCACCAGTGTCATGACATTTTCATTCTGTGGCTTTGTAGTAATGTTTGGTGAAGTAATAATCCCTTATAATTCTTCTCTTTCAGTACTTGCCTAGTTATTCAAGTGTATTTATTTTTCAATACAAATGTTAGTATCAACTTGCCTAAGTCCAGGGACAAAAGCTTATTGGTATTTTTGTTGGGATTACATTAAATTTATAAAGAAACAGGGAGTGACATTTTTATGATATTTCCACATCACAGGAAAATACAATGATGTCTGTTTTTCAAATCTGTTTTCTATTTTTCAAGAGCGTTTCCCATTTTTCTTCACAGGGATTTTGAGCATTTCTGGTTTCTACAAGTTTGGTTGAATTCCCCTGAAAGACTATCCAGGCCTGATGTTTTTAGGCAAAATATTCCTTGATAATTTTCTGTAGTTTACTGTGGAGATGAGCCTGTTTAAACATTCCATTACTGTTGGAATTGATTTTGGTAAACTCCGTTTTCCAAAAAATGATCAATTTCACCAAAATTTCCAATTGTACTTGCATAGATGCAAGCAAAGTAGTCTCTTGTGATTCTTACATTTATTGTAGGCATTCTTTCTCTCCCACTCTCCCTCTGGCACTTCCCCTCTCCTATTTATCTTTCCTATCTCTCTCTCCCTTCATTGTGTGAGTCCCATTACAAGTATGTTAGATCTTTTTCACATAACCAGTATGTCTCCCATGTTCTTTTCTCTACTTTTTAGTCCTTTTTTGCTCAAACTGTATCTAACGTATTGCTAAGCTCATCCTTTGAGTTAGTTTTTCTTCTGGATTTGTTAAATAACAGAATGTCCCCTTGGGACTTTCTTCAAATATTCTGTTCTCAGTTTTGTTTTTTATTTTCTTGAGCATATTAGCATAGTTATTTTTAGTCAATATATTAAGATAACATTCCATAAGTTCCCTGTATGACTTTTGCTCTTTTCTGTGATGTCTTTTTTTCTTTTAGATCTCATAGTTTTCTGCCTGCTTATACCTGGTTGTTTATGATTGAGTGACTATCATTGTATATGAAAGACTGTACAATAATCTCCTTTCTCAGATATTATTTGCCTCCACTTCTGGCAGGTGGCCAGCATGCTAGCAACCTGCAGACACTTTTACTTCAATCAAGGATTGAGATGATTCAAAGACGAGTTTCAGTCCCAGGGATAACTGGACCATTTTGAGTTTGCCCTCACCCCTAAGGCCCAGACTTTCAGAGCTCACCCCAAGCTTGGGGTTGGAGGAGTGCCCAGCCATGGTCAGGCTCTTCACCACCTCCACCCTCCAGCCCTTCTAGAATTGACAGAAACTGAAGAGGAAAAACATCCCTAACTCCAGCTCACCTTCCTTGTCTACTTCTTCCCTGGGTGCTGGCTTTCTATTCTCCACTGATTTATTAGTCCTCCAGTGCCTTTCATAAAGTGTTTTTTTGTTTGGTTGGTTGATTTGGTTTGTTTGTTTTGTTTTGTTTTGTTTTGTTGTTTTTTGTTTTTTGTTTTTTTGAGATGGAGTCTTGCCCTGTCACCCAGGCTGGAGTGCAATGGCATGATCTCGGCTCACTGCAACCTCCACCTCCCGGGTTCAAATGATTCTCCTGCTTCAGCCTCCGAGTAGCTGGGATTACAGGTGCCTGCCAACACGCCCAACTAATTTTTGTATTTATAGTAGAGATGGGGTTTCACCATGTTGGCCAGGCTGGTCTCAAACTCATGATCTCATGATCCGCCTGCCTTGGCTTCCCAAAGTTCTGGGATTACAGGCATGAGCCACCGAGCCCGGCCAAGTGTTTCTTATATTTTGCCCAGGAGGACCCATCTGAATTACTTAGTTTCCCAATATTGCAAATAGAAATAAATTTACATTTTGAATCAAACATGCATATGCTTTGTAGTAACATGGGATTTTAAAAATTCAAAACACTGAGCTTCAGAGCAACATAATGCGTGAGGCCCAGACCTTAAGGGTAAAAACCCAAAATGGCACATTATGCCTGCTCACCTCTCAGTGGGGATACTGCTGTAGAAAAGTGTCAGAACCACTGATGTCTCCAGAGGCTGAGGATCACCAGCTGACTCTAGGACTTTTGTCTGAAGTGAGAAGTAGGAGCTTCTGTTGCAGAGACGGCAAAGGCATCATCTTGATCCATCTATGAGGAATGATCTAGGGCTGGCAAGATCAGGGCAGCTGTCTAGGAGTCTAGAGGAGACAACTGGCTGGCCCCTGGACATAGGGTTTCTGGGAGATAATTCTGGAAGCTCAAGTGAACACCATCTCCAAAAGAGTTCAGTTTAGGAAATGTTGAGTCTGCACACACAGGAAGTGCATGGTTGAGAGATCAACTCCTATGACAACAAAACTGTGAGAATGAGTTTGGAGAACGAAACAAGGCTTCCCTGCCTTGGAACTCCCTGTAAGCTCCCTTCAGGTAAAGCTATGGACCTGACGCATTCTAACTTGTGTTACTTTATTTAGGCCAACTGCAAATGTGAGCTGTAGCTCTGGAGAAAGGACACAGACATGAAGAATCAGGGCATGGCAGGTGTGGGCTGGCTCACCCCACACACCTGCCACGGGGCTGCATCACCCTGTTCGGCTCCCCAGCATCATCCTGTCCTGATTCAACACACTTTTCCACTTCTCAGCTCATTAACTAAGCGTACTATGAGCTCAAGAGAATGGAGTTCGTCGCAATGCCAAGCAGTGGCACAGTTTTATAGAGTGCACATGAAAAACACCTCATCAGAACTCAATATCCTCTGCTGCAAACTGGGGATACCTAGAACCCTCCCTCACTTGTCTCACAGAGCTGGTGGGGACTAGGGTGATGGAGCAGAGAAGTGATTGATACTTGGGTCAGGACTGAAAAAGTTACCTAATATTACCAGTGGCATGAAACCATTCGTGACTGAGCTACTTCTCATAAATATTATAAGTAACCTCTTGGTCCACCTAATTTTGTAACAATAAATGCCTTATTATAGCCATTCTTTTCTGGAAATTATCTATTTGAGGTTCAGAAAATATGTATTCAATTTAAAGGAGCCAAATTTTATTATATTCCTAAGTCTGCTCTCTACTTTTCTATTAAATGATTTTTAAGAATGATAAAGAGAGAACAATTGTCATATGATTGGCTCATACACAACTTTGGCCTTGGAAAATCCCTAAAAGTCCCTAAAATAAGCAAACTGCAGTTTGTAACCCAAAATCCAAAGGAACAAAACAACTGTAGTGTTTATACACATTGTGACCCCACTAGCCAATTAAACTCCTGATCGCCAGCAAATCTATTTATTTTTCTTTTTGTATTTGAGTAGAATGTAAACTGTGAAATGGCTTTGCTTTTTCATCTGCATGAAAAAAATGATATGTCCCTTGAAGCGCATGGCATGTGGTGGTTCACCCTCAATCCATCCTGGCCACCTATGTCAATCCAAATCACCCACCCCACATTAAGTGAGGTATTGGGATCACCTCCCCAGCTCCTGCCCGCATTCTAGGGGAATTCAGTATCAGTGCAGGTGACACAGCCAAGATCCCCAGGACATGTCCCTGGATTGTCTCACCTACAATGATCTTTATTCCCCTCCGTTAAGACTTTAGAAACCCCCATGCCTCAGGGCAGAAATTACAATTTGAAGTATCCGCAGCCCAAACAGATTGATTAGTCCCTCCCATTGGGTGAGGAGTGCACTGCAGGTTGAACATAGCCCAGGAGGCAGAAACTGTGATCTCCGGGGAGGGGAGAGTTGTGAGCAAGGACCCTTCTGCCAACTGCTGCCCCATGTGAAGGAGCCCACAAGGACTGATCTTCTGGCTTACTAAAGAAGAGTTATCCAGACTCTTTTGTACACAAAACCTGTTTATTCAAGCCTGGTTCCATTAAAAGGCAAAACAACCTAGACAGCAGTAAAAGTGTGCTGTGGTCCCAACTAAATAAATAGGCCCTGATTCTCAACTTCCAACCTCTGCTTTCAGCCTCTTCTCATCTCAGGGCTGCCCCATTCATGAAATTCAGAACTCTGCCGTCCTTCTTGGGTGGCCACTGCCTGTCCTTCTTGCCCCGTTGCTCTGTTCGTTCTTAAGCCTCATCCAGACAGAGGCTTTGGCTCTGCCTCCTTCCCAGTCTCTCTGCCACCTGTCTCCACCTGGCCCCCCCAGGCCTTACACCTGGAGGCATCACTTCAGTATCTCCTGGGCCCTTCCTCTCTCCCAGATCTGTCCTAACCTGTGTACCTGTCCACTGACAACAGCCTTCCAGGAACCTTACCCTGCTGTGCTCCTTGGCTGGAGCTCTCTCAAGGACAGATATGTATGCTTCAGCGTCTGCCAGGCCCAGGCTCAGGACTTATAGAAGGAATGTACTGTGTTCTGGATGTCTGTGTCCCCCCAGAATTCATATATTAACATCCTTACTCCCCAGGTGATGGCATTAGAAGGTGGGGCCTCTGGGGGTGATTAAGTCGTGAGGATGGAGCCTCATGAATGGGTCAACATCCTTATAAAAGAGACCCCAGAGAGCTTCCTCACCCCTTCCACCATGGGACAACACAGCGAGAAGGCTAGGAGTCCTTGCCAGATGCTAAATCTGCTAGTGTCTTGATCTTGAACTTCTCAGTCTTCAGAGCTGTAAGAAATACATTTCTGTTGTTTATAAACCACCCCATTTATAGTAATTTGTTTTAGCAGCCCAAATGGACTAAAAGCATGAAGGAAGATATTTTCCAATTTTTCTAAAAAATAAGATTTAAGATCAGACCAACCACCCACTAACCTGTTAACCAATGACAAGTTACTTAATCTCTAAACCTCAGTTTTCTCATCTATAAATGGGAGCAATATGACATAGCCCAGAGTTGCTATGAAGAGCAAATGATCTATGGCAGGCCCTAGGCACAGCACATAAAGCATAGAAGCATCCAGCCACTTTTTACTATTATTACTATTGTTGTTGTTATTTTAAATTTAATCAGTGACGGACATCTTGCTTTCCCACCCTGTGATTTCACATTGGCAAACTTCAGTCTGCTACAATCTCTTCTCTCAGTAATGGGCTGTGGATGTGCAATACCAGCAGGAAGCAGCTTCCCTAGGGCTCTCCTACAAGGTGGGCACCAGGGGCACAGCTGGGATGTAGCACTCTTCCTCCCTCAGGTTTTCAGGCTAGTGAGGACCAGCTATCTCACACACAGCCCGTCAGAAAGATACACAAAGTGGCCTGCTGGCCCATTCTCTTGCTGGTCCTGCAAACAAGAGGCTGGGGAACTACTTAAAGAAGATTGGGATTGATTCTCTTGGCCCACACCATAAAATGAGAAGTCATCACTGCGTGGACATCAAAGCACACAGGGGCCAGGTGCTTCTCAACTACATAATTCTCTATGTCCCTCCATGTTTGAAAGAGGTGCAGGAGTGAATCCAAGGATGGATGACCAGGGTCTTTATGAGAGAGGGGAGGGGGTGTGAATGCAAAGACGGGTAAGGCCTGAACCCGCCTTGGGCTCTGGGAGCACAGAGTCCTGGGAGCAGGCAGGATGGCAGGAAAGCATCGCGCCTCTAGAGCCAGACTGCCTGGGTTTGTTTTATTTTTCCCAGCCCAATTGAGATCCAATTGACAGAAGGAAACAGTATATATTGAAGGCATATATGTGATGATTTGATATATGTACACACTGTGAATTGATCACTACGACCAAGCTACTTAACATATCCATAACCTCACACAGTTGCCTTTTGTGTGGGGTGGGGGTTGGTGGGAACACTTAAGATCTACTCTCTTAGCAAATTTCAAGCATACAATACATTATTATTAACCATAGTCACCATGCTGTACATTCGATTCCCCAGCACTTATTCGTCTTATAACTGCAACTTGGTACCCTTTGACCAACATCTCCCCAGCCCCAGCCCCAACCCCAGCCCCTGGCAACTACCATTCTACTATCTGTGTCTGTGAGTTCCATTTATTTCCATTTCAAATATAAGTGAGATCATTGACTGCTTGGGTTTAAATTCTGGCTCTGACCCTTCCATATGTGTGACCCTTGGCAAGTGCATACCTAGCTGTCAATTTCTCCTCTGTCAAGTGGTGACAATGTGGATAGCGCTGCCTGAAAATATTGTTGCAAGAATTAGGTAAAATAATACGAACAATATGCTTAGCACTGCGCCCGGTACATAGCAAGTTCTGGATCGATGTTCTCTATTTTTATTAGTAAAGATGTACATGAATGCAGAATTAGAGCACAAATGATAATGACCATGGGGCTGCACCAAACATTGTATTAATAGAATAAAAAGGGAGCAAGTGCATTGAGGATGAGATGATTCAGTTGGAGATGCAGATGGTGGTGCATAAGAATGAGAATTTGCCAAGTGACAAATAACAGAGAATGTTCCAGGGGGAGAAGGGAGCACACACAAAGTACAGAAATATGAACGGTTGTTCTTCTCCACCTCACCCTGTGAGTTTTAACAAAGGAAACAATCCCCTGACAGCTCGGCAGATGGAAAGCAGCAACTATCAGCCAAGATTAGCCAGGAGTTGGTTACAAGGCCTCTATAAGACTTTAAGAGAGGGATCCAAGCCTTGGCATTTGTGCAGTTGAGCTATTTAAAAAATAGCTACTTTCATAATACGGCATGTGGTGAGGTCACTTCCATTTTTCACTAGCTGAGTTAATGTTCTTTGTTGGATATTAGGCCTGGTTTTCCCCCAAGCCCTGCAGAAAGGAAGACTGAGTCCACACTCAACCCACACTCAAGGGGCCACTGTCTGGCTATGAAAGCAGTCTGAGGCATAGCAGTCTCTCCTAGAATCATTGTGTGTTGGCTCTGTCCTGGTGTGCCCCCGACTGATCAGGGTACCTTCAGCTTCCTTGAAAACACCAGGACACAGACCAAAGCTTTGAGAAAACATATGACTTTTTAATTATCTTGCTTTTATTCTTACTTGCATTTAAACTCCAGGTGCCCTAATCTTATTTTTGTCTTTTTTCTTTCCCCATTATTATGATTCCATAACCCATACTTATTAAACCAACTTATCCATCTCACATCAGACTAGATGTTTTTCCTTTCCCATAAATTTTGCAATGAGTTACTAGAAAGCGCACCTTTGTCAGGTGACATGGAAGGTGTGGGTGGGTGTAACCACAGACTCGCACACGAGTGCCTGCCATGAGAGACATCAGGCCCAGATGCTCTTCTCCCTGGGAGTCCTGGGCCCATAGGAGTTGAGAAATTCTTCTCTCCAGGGGTGAGACTGCAACATATCAAGGTTCAGTCCATTCCCACGCAAGGGATGAGGAGCAGCAAATTTAGGGGTCTTTGGCAATGTCCTCTGTATTCCTATTTCCTTCCAACAGGTTTTCATCAAGGATAGAGCCATTTCAGCCAACCAGTCAGGCCAGATGAGCAGAAGTTCCCAGTGGCTGCATCGTAACTGCTAAACCCAAAGCTGCTCCCTTGTGACAAGCCTGCTCCCCTGTTCAGGCCACCTGCAGGTGTCTCTGACCTCTGCTGGGACTCAGGCAGGGGGGGGCAGCCCTAAGCAAAAGGTTTGAATGCAGAGTCCACCAATTCTTGGCTGTGACCCCTAGAGAAAGTTCATCACTGTGCTGTCAATTTCTTCACTTGAAAGGGGAAATTTTCTGCATTACAGGATTTCTGTAAAAAGCATGTGAAAATACACACCAAGTAGGTGGCACATTTTTATGATTTACAAATTTTATCCAACTACCATATTCAATTAAACTGTGATTCCAGTGGGTGTCTTAGCCAGCTCAGGTTGCTATAACAAAACATCACAGAGTGGGTAACTTCAACGACAGAAATTTATTCTTTACAGTTTGGGAGGCTGGAAGTTCAAGATCAAGGTATTGGATAACTCGGTTCCTAGTGAGGGCTCCCTGCCCAGTTTATAGAAGGCCACCTTTTCACTGAGCCCTCACACAATGGAGAGAGAGATCATGTCTCTTGTGTCTCTTTTTATAAGGGCACTAATCTCATTCATGAGGACTCCACCTTCAGGAAATAATTACTTCCTATAAGCCTCACCTCCTGATATCATCATATTGGTGGGTACGGCTTCAAATGTGAATTTTGTAAGGACACAAACATTTGGTCCATAGCAGTGGCCAGAAAGTAGAAGGGGGTGGGAAAGAACGAGCCTCAAAAAGAATACCAACTCCTGTGAATCTATTCTTGACATTACTTCCTTCTCTCTCAGCAGTATTATTCAACCCCACGACTTCTAAATTGTTTGCCAGCCCAGATTTCCCTCCCAGAGATGAAAATCACATGCTAAAGGGACCCTCAAGCCTCTGGTGAGTGAAACCAGAAACACAGACCATCCTTGGCACTGTTTCCATATGGCCAGCATGGCTATGACCGGAGCCCCCATCCCCAAGCAGTGAAACAAGCCAGGGCAGACAAAGGACACAGCAAGGCATAGGCAGGTCTCATTTCGTATGAGCGCCTCAGGGTCAAGGTTAGGGCTTGCTTCCCATGCACACTGCACTTGGAATCTGGAATATATTTGGTGCTCAGTAAACTTGGATTTTCTATGTGAACGATTTAAATGAGTCCCTGCTGCAAGAGCACAGTGTTTCCATGCTTGCTGTTCTTTTGAACAACCACTGTTCACTTTCACATCTCCCTGGGCTGTCATTGCCTTAGGAGGCCTGCACTGGTCCCTGACATAGAGAGACCCTCACTGTTAGGGTCCTGGAGCACTGGAACCCTCCTCTCATAGGACACAACACACTCTAGTGAAATGGCATAGGACCTCTGTTTCCATTGGGACAGGAACTCCATGGCAGGCTTCCCTTGCGGGATGATGGATCACTGTGGGCTAATGGAATATTATACAAGGGAAGAAGCCACTGATTCTGTTTGAGCTGATCAGGGGAATGTTTGTGGAGACACCCTTGAGGGGCTTATCAAGTCAGAATGAGTTTTCCAAACAGACCAGGAAGATAGGAAAGTCCTGTGGAAGAAAACGCAGGCGTAAAGAGCCAGCGGTGTGCCATGGCCCCTGCATTTGGAGACCAGTGGAAGTTTAATGTGGCTGGAGTAGCAGGCAAATGTGCGAAAGCAGATTTGCACAGGAGGCAGTACAGGACTAGTCACGTTCATCATGCCTAACGTGATTCTGACCCAGGGCCAATCCCAGCAGACACCTGGCAATGACCAGAGACATTCTTGGTCATCACAACTGGGGAAGTGCTACTGGTATCCAGGGAGTGTTTCTCAGGGATGCTGTTAACAGCCTACAATGCACAGGGCAGCCTCCCACAGTAAAGTTACCCTGCCCCAAATGTCCCTGCTGCTGAGGTTGAGAAACCCTCCACTCCTGCAAGGCAGGATTAACACAGGACCGACCTCGCCATGGCCACTTCGGGCCTTCGTGACCCCAGCTGTGAAGGCCAGAGGACAGGAGAAAAAAAATGCAATGGGGACCAGTAGAGCCAAAATAAGGCTTGTGTTTCTGGGCTCTGGCCCAGTGTTGAGCCACTGCGTCCTCTGCCTCACCTGAAGGGGCTGCATCGGGAGCAAGAAGCCTGGCCACAGCCTTCTGGTCAGGTCTTGGCTATGGCTGCAGTCCATTTAAAACATTTTGTGACCCTAACTTTCCTCAGTGCCACTGACCTTCCTGCATCCCTCATGAAGCATAAACTCTGTGTCTGTGCTCTGCTGAGTTCAGTGATGGCCCTGCAGGCACCAAGGGGCCTATTGTGGAGGCCCTGGGGGGCAGGCACAGTGGGGAGGAGAGACGTGATGGCAGGGCCCAGCTCACTCAGAGTGCTGACAGTTAACAGACTCTCCTACAACCCAAGAGGCATCCGTTCCCATTCGGAAGCAAGGATGCTGAGGACTTGGCCACACCAATGGCTGGTTGAGGGTCACCCATGGTAAGGGATGAAGCCAGAGGCCCAAACACCAACACCAATTCAAAGGTGGTCTTTGAATCACTTGGGGCCACTCATGATGCCCTGTAACAGCCTGAGCAAACTCATTCTTCATTTGGTTGGTAGAAAAAGATTCTGAACTGTAGCAAGTTAGAGAATTGTTCTCACACTTGATTAAAATACAATTGCTAGCTGAAATCTGCAGTAGAGTTTTCGAACTCTTATATGGACATGGGAAGAGAAAGAAAGGCCAACAGAATAGTAAAAAGACTCTGGGATGCATGAAAACAAATTGTAAACATATTTAATTTTTATTTAATTTGATAAGCAGTCCTCTAATTCTTGGAACTTCAGAAAGTCACTCCTGGGAGCAATCGTGTTTGCAGAATAGGTAGTAACTCAGCTTTAGTTGTTATTTCTTCTGATAACAAATCACATTTTTGAGTCACAAACCAATATGTTTCTCTAACTCATTAGTGTGTGTTATTTTGTCTTTAAAAGACCCAGAGATCTTCCCTGCATACCCAGTTGGAGTGTCTGCTTATTGATGAGAACATTGATGGTGACTTGGAGGAGTTCATTTTACCTTTGAAGGATTGGACAATAGAAGCAATTTAAATGTGAGTTGTTCTCACTCCATTTAGTTAACACTTGTTTCATAAGGACTAAGATTACAAAGCTGACATTTATTTTATGTCAAATAACCACAGAAACCTGTGCACTAATAGCTGCCTTCACACTGCTACAGTTGAATGATGGTGAAGAATGCCAGCAAAAAAATCTCTCTTGGAGATTATGTGGGGATGTAATGAATGTAAGACTAGGCCCCTGAAAAATAAGATAATTAAGTTGTGGCTTTTTATTGTGCTTTCATTCTGATTGCGGCCTGGATCAATGCCAAAAAATTATGAATAAGCATAATGCCTGGCACATAAAAGGTGTTTAATAAATACCTATGAATAAATAAATAATATAAAGACATGAGGTATTGAAAGCCTTGGATTTGGATGTCCTGGATTTTTACACTAGCTAGCACTGGGACTGGCTGACTAAGTCAATTTAGGGGACCTACTTCACTGTTCTGAGTCTCACTTGTGCAGTTGTGTACCAAGAACTTTAGACTTGGTTAAACCACCATCAAGTTTATTGAGAGCCTCCTACGTGTATGAGCCTGATGGTATCCACTTTAAATATATATAATGGTATCCACTTATTTAAATATAAATATAAGTATCCAAATATTTAAATGGTATCCACTTTAAATATATATAAATACATCCACTTTAAATATATATATTATCTTCACCTTTTCTAATTGTTTGCTACAAAAATAAAAATGTCTTCCTTCTTCTAATACAGTTATGATTCTCAATGAAAGTAGACATCAAGATGCAGCTACTAGCTGTGCCCAATGGAAAAATGTATTCAAACATAAAATTCAGCCATAAGGGTTTGACTTGCAGAAACCTCACCTGAGGATACAAAAATACAAAACTAGAAACAGAAGTTTTTTAGCTGAGAAGTGAATGAACTGAAAGAATCAAGGAATTGCTCCCACCCTTATACACAGACACACACACACACACACACACACACACCTTCAGGGGAAGTATAGTTGTCTCCACTCTCTTCCCACTGCTTTATGCCCTAGCCACTTTGCCATGGTAGTCTTTCTAAAATTATCTTTAAAAACTGTAAAATTACTCCCTAACCACCCCCTAGCATGAGGCTCCTCTTTGCCTCTGCATTTTGGGGAGGGAGTTTTTTTCCTCTTCTTGCCACCTATCAAAACTCCATCAGAAACTTTTTCTCCCCCTATGACTCCCTCTCTCATACTCCCATACACACAGTTTCTGCTGTTCTTTATGAGAAAGCTGTCGTTGCTTTGTAGGAGAGATTTGAGGAGGTCTCAGTGGGAAGGCCGCCACTATTCAGCTTTGTATTCCTTGAACCGAGCAAGAAGCTGGGCTCATGGCAAGTGTTCATGGAATGCATACATTAAGTGGAGTGTGTGGCAAGTCCACACTGGTATTTCCCATGCCTGGTAATAGTTATGGGGTGATTGAAAGGTCTTGGGATTGCCTGTGTGCCCAGTGAGAGTCTGACCCATTTCACAGAGCAAAGAAAATATCCATTATCTGTCCTCCCACCTTCCTCTCTGCAAGATTTTGGAGGGAGGACAGAGGTATAAAGAATATAGATGTTTTAAAACCATGACTTTGAACAGGACAGAGAGAAGAGAGTCTTTTTAAGTCAGAAGCTTGTTAAATTACAGCCGCTGGTTCTCAGTACTGAGCTTTGGATTTCATTCATTCATTCAGCCATTCAGCAAGATTTATTAAGCACAGTCTGGGACAGGGTTTATATTAGTTATTAGGGCGAAGGGATGAGTAAAATATGGTTCGCCAAAAACATATCTACCAGAAGACAAAAAATGAGAATGAGGCAAATGTGCTGAGATTGAGCACGATCAGAGCTTGAGAGGGAATAGTCAGCACTGCAAGCGGAGCAACACAATGGACATATGAGCAACAAAGATCTATCCTACCTGTGTTATTTTTCAACTGTACGAATAGATTATTCTAACATTATCAGGTTTACATAGCATTATTATCTAATATTAAGCAAATTAATTGGCTAAAGAACAAAAGAAATCTTGGCCTCACTGAAAGGAAAAGTTCCCTTGTCCCCCTGGCAAGGCGTGCGACAGCGGGTGTGGCTCGCTTTTTCGGTGCCCGGCTGCTCAAACCTCTAGAGGGGAGCATGCAGACCGGCAGGTTGTGGGGCTCCAACCCCACGGCAGTGTCTAGGGGTGGATGTTTACAGCTCCTGAAGCCCCAGTGGGCGTGTGTTACAGAGTGCTCTTTTAGTTTTGCCGTCGGTGGGCGGCTGGTGTTAACCAGCTCAATTAGACACTCTGGCTTATCGCAAGGACAGAGAGCTTTCTGTATCCCGGGGTTCTTGCCTTGGTGTACCAGGAGAATTAGATCACACATGGGCTTGGAGAATGAGTGCAAGGTTTTATTCAGTGGAAGTAGCCCTCAGCCCATGGGGGAGCCAGAAGGGAGATGGAGTGGGAAGGTGGTTTTCCCCTCGAGTCGGTCCACTCAGGGCCAGGCTCTCCTCCGACCACCCTGGCCAAACTTAGTGTCGTTCTGCCAGTTGATGGCCTGCCAGTCTGCTGGGGCTGTCAATGTGCTCTTACGCCGGTACGTTCCTCTCGACATCCAGCCGCTTGTGTCTTCTTCCGCCGGTGTGTTCCTGTCAATGTCCAGCTGCTTGTGTCTGTGCCCACTAAGGTCTCGGGGTTTTCACAGGTACAGGATGGGGCATGGCGGGCCAGGGTGGTCTTGGGAAATGCAACATTTGGACGCTAAGGCAGGAGTGCCTGTCCTTACCTATGTCCCTGGGCCCAGGCCCAGGGCTGGAGCCCTCACCAGGGACCTTCTCCTCCCAGCACTTCCCTGCCGTCCTCCCGTATCATCATGACACCATCAGATGGTGTTGAACCACACTCAGCACGTCCAGTAGCAGCCCAGCCACCACTTGCAACCAAGAAGTCTAACACCTCCTCAGCTTCTCCTTTGACAACACTGGATCATACGTGGTCATCTGGTATGCTGGTTTCATATGCTGAAGGGCCTAGAGCAGGAAAGAACAGAAGCCCCAGACAGAATTTCTAATAACTATGCTGCCAAACCCAAACCACACCAGAGAAAGGATTTGTTTTTCACATGGAGCTCTAATGCATTTTTCTCAATGCTTATGACTACCCTTTCATCTAAAAGCCTCATTTGGCCACATCAGATGGTGATTCCCGAGTAGTTGAGACTATTGACCCTGGATTGTACTGGGACATCTCCCCGGGAGGTCTTCTGTCCTGGGAGCTTCCTGACTCACCTTCTCAAGAAAACAAGCTCCCATGACTATACCCTCATCTATTTTGGTGCACTGTCTTATGGTGACTATATTCAATGGAGAAAATGCCTGAGGAGTTGGACGATGTCTCAAGATGTCCTCGACACATATCAGTAAGGGAGGTGGGTTATTACTGCAGGTGGAAAAAGACAGGCACTTCCCTCCCCACCTTCCCAGGAGGTGACATGGTCTTTTTCTCTATGGAGAAACTAAAAGTAACCAAAAAATTTCTTGCCTTCCTTGTCCTCATCATTTTATTATTCTTTATGAATATATCTTCTATATAAATTTTAGAATCATCTTATCAATTTAAATAAAGAACACTGAGAATACTGATACATGAATCTAGGGAGAGATCAATATATTGGTAAATATCCTGCATATTTTTGCTAGACGTTTTCCTGGTATTTGATATGATACTAGACTATTATCAATGATGATTTATCTTCACCTTTTCTAATTGTTTGCTACAAATATAAAAATGCAAATAATTGGCTCTCTCTCCTTTCTCTCCTGTTTGCCTCCTTCGCATCTTCAACCCTCACTAGAAAGGGGCCAACTAGTCTCCACCTCTTCTATAACCCATTGACATTTCTCTCTCCCGAATCATTCTTCAGAAACAGCTGTCTGTCTCTACAAGCCCTAATGATATCTCCATCATCAAGTTCAGTGGCCTCATGTCAGCTCATGTCCATGCCTTCCTCACTTTCTCTGACTTATCTGATATTGTTGACTGGTCTCTTCTCTTGTCTTCTGGTAAACCATTCTCAATTTTGCCCCTTATCTCTCTGATTGCCTTTCACGAGTCTTTACTCTCTTTCTTAAGCATAGTTCAACCCAGGAGCTCGTCCTCTCTCCTGTTCTGGTGCTCAAGTCTTGAATGTTGATTGTTATAAATGATTTGGATGAGACTGCAATGGTTTTAACTGGTATTTGTGCTATAACAATGTTTTTACATTCAACCAAGCATATATTATAGAGTGTAAAAGCTGAATTTCAAAATAAGGTCTTCAAGGAGATTTTGCACTTGGAGTAAACATCTGCACTTCATGTTACCAATTCACACTCCAGTTCTATTTAGATATATTTTGGTGGGAAGTTTTCAGAAGCATCCTAGACAATCAAATTTTCATTTTTCAAGTTGTAATAGGAAATCCAGACTCAACACTCCCCTTCTGCAATTCTATTCCTTCTATATTCATGCTACTTTCAATCAAACTGAACTTGGGCATATCCAACATGAGCCTGACTGGAGTCATGAATGTTGAGAAAGAACATAACAGTCTAAACTGGGTGGTCTGAAACATGTCATTCATATGTATGAATACATAGATTTGATTCCCTTTTAGCCGATTTTTGAAACTAAATGAAATGTCAAAGAGCAAGGTCTTGCTGTGGACTCCCATGGGGGTGAAATAAGCATGAGAGAATCAAGCTAGGATAGAATTGGAGAGACACATTCAGTTAATTTTTAAATGGTTTCATTTGCCTATTATACTTGTAAATAACATATTTAAACTCAGAATGCTTATGAGGAAAACTTGCCTTCTAATTAATAACTCACATTGGGATAATATTCATGCTTGGAATTTAAAACTTTCTCTCTTGGACTATTACCAAACATAAGAAATTTTATTCCAAGAGATAATTTTTGCATAATGATCTATTTCCAAAGAAATACAATAATACTCATTACATCTCTTCCAGATGCAATATGCCAGCACCAGCACCATCATTTCAGAGTGATACTGTCACATGCCCATTCAAGCAAAATAAAATTTCCATCTGGGCAGATAATATGGTTAAAATAAGAACTTTACTGATGAGTGCTTGCTTTATGTCTGCAAACTCTTTCCAGAAATCTACAAAGGGGAATGTTACATTTTAGTGCTTATAAATAGAGAGAGCCATCTTCTTTGATTTGTTGCTTGTTTGCAATGTTGTTATGTTTACTTGCTAGAAATGACAGGACTTACTGGACATCCTGGATAGTGTCTGTGCCAGCAATTTCACATCCATTAGTCAGGGCTAAAGAAAGTATGAGATATGTGGGAATGTCTTAATTGAACTCCAACACAATCATTCTATTGCTGTTGTCATTTTAACTTTTTCTTCACTCAAAAATATATGAGTGTTATCATTTTATTACAACCATATTTTTTTCCATTTTATCTGTGATGAGGTCATTAAGGCTGGCTAGCTCTAACCTCATTTTCAACTATGAATTCAATAATATTTTAGAAATTCTAAATTTTTAAATTATTGAACTATAAGCCTTCAAAAATATTTTCAACTTTTTAAATTTTAATCAATTTTCAGAAAATCAAAAGTCAAAAAAATGTTCCAGTATGAGTTCCCAAAGCTGGAATTCCATCCAGACTGGCATAAACTAAAGTAACTAATGAACTTGAATTAGAACAGAGCTGAAAAATACACTGGTTCAACTCCACGGCACAGCTCCTCTATTTTGTTTCGGGCTCTCTGTTATAAAATAAAATAAAATGCTGAATTTGACTTCAGAGTCCATTTTTATTTAGCATTTCACAAACTTACACACACACACACACACACACACACACACACACACACACACACTCTATTGGGCTAGAAATAAAATCCTGCTTCGGTTTGATTTCATGTTGACCAATCCTCACCCATTTATCCCCTAGTCTTTCCCCTATCAGTCTGAAAGAGACATTTTCTCTGTCTCTGTCTCTGTCTCTCTCTCTGTCTCTTTCCCCACCTACTTCCATCAGAATAACCATCACTCCAACCCCCATGTTAATCAATTTTTGTCATTTTTATACTAATTTTATTTATATATTTCATATTATTTATGTAGTATACATTCCTAATTTATCATAGTTTTTAAATATTATCAAGAGAATTTATATTTAATATTTTAGCTTTTTAACTTTCTATGATTCATCCATATTGTATATAGTTTAGTTTATTTATCTTTCTCCTTTTTAAGATTCATTTGTGTGACTATACTAGTTTATTCATTCATTCTTCTAGAAGAACATTTGAGTTATGCCCAACACTTCTCTATGAATTTTCTCATACACTGTATTGTGTACAAGGCTTTCTCTTGGGTAGATATGGAATTCCTATGTGGTAGGATATGTGGATGTCCAGCCCTAGGAAGTGACATTAACCTGTTTTCTAGAAAGTCTCTATGATGTACAAACCTAACAGCAGTGAATAATAGGTCCTCCCCATCCTTCATAAGGAGACACTTTCCAGCTTTGCCAGTCAGATGAATGTGAAATAGGTCACATTGTGGGTTTGACTTGCATTTTCTTTATCAACAGTTATGTTGATTTTTTTCAGACATCTATTAGAAATTGGTACTTTCTCTTCCATGTGTTGAATACTAATGGCTTTTTTGTGTGTGGTTTGTACTTTCTCTAGTGATGCTCAGAATTTTTAAAATTTATTTTCAATACTGACTTTTCATTAGTTATGTGTTTGTTAAGAATATCTTCTCCCAGCTTTTAGAGGGTCTTTTCATGTTTTTTAATTTTAAAAAATCTTATTTTGAGACAGGGTCTCACTATGTTGCCCAGGCTGGCCTTGAACTCCTGGGCTCAAGCGTTCCTCCTGCCTCAGTCCCCATTATAGCTGGGATTACAGGCAGGTAATGCCATACCCAGCAGTCTTCATGTTTTGGGAGTGGTTCATGAAAGTTTTCATTTTCAGTACAGTCAATTTTATTAAGTATTATATAGCCTATATTTAGGTATTTTGTTTAAAATGACTTTTGCTACGTAAGAACTAAAATATCCATATTTTCTTGTGAAACTTTTACAGCTTTACTTCTTCTCTTAACTTTTAATTTTGAAATGACTATAAATTCACAGGAAATTGCAAACTTTATAGATAAGTCCTCTCACCCAGTACCTCTCATCCAATTTCTCCCAATGTTTACTTCTTCCAAAGCTCTAGTACAATATCAAAACCAGGAAATTGGAATTAGTATAGCATAAATATGCTGTTCTGTGTCATTTTATGACATGTGTAAGTTCACATAACCCCACAACATTCAAGGTGCAGGCTGGCCCACCACCAGCAAGGTCTCTGTGCCACCTCTTTATGGCCATACCCATCACGTCTCACCCATCTCTTTCCCCACCTAAGCATCCCTAATTTCTGGCAAATGCTAATTTATTCTTGTTTCTCATCCTGTCACTTTAAAAATGTTACATAAATGCAGTCATACAGTGTATGATATTTTAAGATCAACCTTTTTTACTCTCAGCATAGTGCCCTTTAGTTCCATCCTAACTGTATGTATCAATGATTTGCTGCTTTTTATTTCAAAATAGTATGCTATGCTACTAATGTACACAGTTTCTTTAACTATTGATCTATCATAGGATGTATTGGTTGTTTTCAGGTTTGAGCTATCACAAATACAGCTGCAATGAACATTCATGGACAGGTTTTTGTATGGACATAAGATTTCATTTTTCTAGGATAAATGTACCAGAATGTGAATTCTAGGTTGAATGGTAAGGGCATATACATGTTGGTTTTTTGGGGTTTTTTTGTTGTTGTTGTTGTTGTTGTTGTTTATTTTGAGACTGAGTCTTGCTCTGTCACCAGGCTGTAGTGCAGTGGCGCGATCTTGGCTCACTGCAACCTCCAACTCCCTGGTTCAAGTGATTCTCCTGCCTCAGCCTCCCAAGTAATTGGGATTACAAGCACGCACCAGTACACCCAGCTAATTTTTATATTTTTAGTAGAGATGGGGTTTCACCATGTTGGCCAGGATGGTCTTGATCTCCTGAACTCGTGATCCACCCGCCTCAGCCTCCCAAAGTGCTGGGATTACAGGTGTGAGCCACCGTGCCTGGCCTATACATGTTTTAAAGAAACTGTCAAATTATTTTCCAGAATGGCTGTAGGATTTTAAATTTGCACCAACAATATACTATAGGACCCAGTTTCTAACACATCCTCACCAGTGCTTGGTAACTAGTCTGCTGGTATCAACATTTTAGCACTTGTAGTGAAGTTTGGAACACGTACCATTATGATCCTTTACCCTGCCCCAATTATAATTAACTGAAATATTTCCTCTACATGCATTGAGGACCACATCAGACTGTGGTGAGATGTTTGCTTTAGCTGTCGTAAACAATTTTGAAAACTCAAAAGGAGAGAAAAAGTCCATTATATTGACCCTCTTGCTCTTTCTTATATGCTTTCATCCACTCTAATGTCCCAAGAGTCCTTTTATTAAATCATTTTCTTTCTGTTTAGAGAACTTCATTTAGCCATTGCTTTAGGGCAGGTCTGTTGGCAACAAAGTCTCTTAGATTTCCTCATCAGAGAATGTCTTGATTTCCTCTTTATACCTAAAGTGTATTTTCACTGGGTATAAATTGACAATTCTCTTCCTTCAGCAACTGAAGAATACTGTGTCGCTTTTTTCCTGACTTCCTTGATTTATGATTTTAAAAAATCTGCTTGCCTTTGAGTTGTGTTTCACCTGTAGGTAATGTGTCATTTCTCGCTGATTTTCAAAATTTTTTCTTTGTCTTTAATTTTCAGAAATTTAGTTATGATGGGTCTTGGAGAGGATTTCCTTAGGGTTATCCTGTTTGAGGTGTACTCAGATTATTGAATCTGTAAGTATATGTCCTTTTGCAAAATTTCAGAAATGTTTCGCTGTTACTTTTTCAGTACTTTTTCTAACCATCCTCTTTGTTCTCTCTTTCCAGGGCTCTGATGATACAAATGCCATGTCTTTTGTTAGAGTGAGTCACCAGTCCCTGAGGCTTGGCTCAATGTTTTCAGTGTCTTCTCTCTCTGTTGTTCAGATTGAATAATTTCTGTATTATTCAATCCACTTTCTTATCCACTGAACTGCTTTTTTAAGTAATTGTATGCCCATTTTGGTTTATCTTTATGTCTCTATTTCTTTAATACTTTTTTGTTTGGGGAGAGCCTTTTTAAATTTGTTTCAAGACTGTTCATGATAGCACATTGAAGAATATTTACCACAGCTACTTCAAAATCTGGGTCAGATCATTCTAACATCCTTGTCACCTCATTTTTGTCATATTCATTGTATTTTATTCTCCAGGTTGAGATCTTCCTGGTTTTTTAAATGACCAGTGATTTTTTTGTTGAAACCTAAATATTTTCTTGTTATGGCATGAGAGTCTGGATCTTACTGAAACCTTCTTTTTGGCAGGCTTCCTCCAACACAGCTGCAGCAGAAGTAGAGGGAATTGCTACCTCATTACTGCCAGGTGGAGCTCCATTGACACCTGAGCCAAGCAGGGGGCTCCTTCTTATTGCCGGGCAGGGTTGGAAGTTCCTGCTCCCCTTATGGTCTTCATTGGAATACAGTAGGAATGGTCTGGTTACCACTGGGCAAAAGTTTAAGTCCTGAGCCTCTATTCAGCCTCATCAGATACCACCCTGTGAGTAGAGAAGGGTCCCTCAATCCTGATGGGTTGATGGGGAAGCCCAGGCCCCATGTAGCCTCCACCAACGCCAAGGAGGAGTGTGGCTACTGGCCAGGAGGGTGAAATACTGGCTCCTTATATAGCCTTTTCAGATACCATCCCCGGGGAGCAGGTGTTGAAAGGCCCCAGCACAGCCTCTTGACGGAGAAAGTCTAGGATCCTCCCAGCCTTTGTCGGTGGAGGAGGGGACGGTGCCATAGTTTTTCCTGTGATGTTCAGCTGCAGTCAAGCAGTTATTGCCTTTCCTGATCCTTTGACTAAAGGGGTCAGGATTTTCTTGAGGCCTTTTGTCTGTGATGGTTGGCATTCTGGGTTCCTGGCTTCTTCAACACCCAGTCTGGGTCATATGAGGGGCAAAAAGAGAACCCAGGGAACTCACCAGCAGGCTGTTCTTTGGGGCTCGTGGTCCCCAGCCAGTCTGTCTCTTCTCTCCATCTTTCAGAATCTTCTTATGTTTGTTTTATATATAATGTCTAGAATTGTTAAGTTCCAATAGAAAAATGGTGTCTACTCCATTTTCCCAGAAGTACAGTCTATAACTTTAGATTCAACAATCGAATCCTTATTTTACTAGAGTTAACTTTTGTATTAATATATAAAGTGAGGTAGAGCTCCAATTTTAATTTTTTTATGAATAACATATTTTCCAAGTTTATTTATTGAGCTCTTACTCTTTTATCTACTAATATTTGCAATGTCTATCATATTTTGGGACTCTTTTTCCATTATTAGTTTGTCTATACCTACACCTTTACCAAACCATCTAAATTGCTGCAAAATACTTGGTAAGTTCTGGTTTCTGGAAGTTCAAGTCCTCATGTAGTGTTTTCCTTCACAACTGGCCACTGTAATCTTGGTCCTTTATTCTTCTGTACAAAATTTAGAATCCTATCAATTTGATAGAAGAATACTGACTCTGATAGCTTTCTAATCTATACATAAATTTAGAAATAGTTTAAATATATCATTAGCTATCTTACACATATTGTTAGTTTTTTCCTGAATATTTGATATTTTATGAACCTATTGTAAATGATGACTTCTCTTCATTGTTTTTAATTGTTCACTACAAATATAAAAATCTGTCTTTTATAGTTGTTTTATACACAGCCAATTTGCTCAATACAACTATTATGTTTGATAATGTTTTGTAATTAGATAATTTAGAGGTTTCTATATAAATGTATATCATATGCAAATAACATTCCTTGTTCCTCCTTTCCAATCTCTAAAGCATTTTACTCACATGGTTGCACTGACTAGAAGTTCCAACACAATGTTGAATAAAATTTGTGATATTAGGCATCCTTAACTCATTCTAAAATTCAAAGGGAAGCTTTCTAAAATTTCCTCATTTAGAAATATGTGTGCTTTTTTTTAATATCCTCTACCTGGTTAAGAAAGTTTCCTTACATTTCTAAATTACTAAGATTTAATTTTGATGAAAATCCTACCTTTGATTATTAATTCATGGAGAGTCATATAAAAAAACTTTTTTCCATATATTCAAATTATCATATTGTTTATCTTCTTAAATCTATAAATGGAATGAATTACATTTATAAATGAATTTTTCAATGAATATTAGACAAAATACAATTTGATCATGAGTATTACCTTTTTACAAAAATTGGTGGAAATATCCATATAGATTTATATAAGTATATGCACACACAAAATTATAAAATTTAAGAGAAAAATGATTCTGTGTGACCATTTCTCATAATATTTTTGTCTGGCTTTGATACTAGGATTCATTGGGATCAAAGGATTAGGTAAGTTTTCCATCTTTTCCAGTTGTCTATAAAAATCTGTATAAAAGTGATCTCTACCTTGAAAGCTTCACAGGCCATATGGTCTGATTTATGGAAAGGTTATTGCTTCATATTCTTAGTTATATAAATATTCAAGTCTTTGATACTTCTCAAATAAATTTTGCTAAGTTATATTATTTTAGAACTTCTTCCATTGCCTCTAAGTTTTTGACACTGGTGGCATACATTTATTGTTAAAATTTTTCTTATATGACCTTTGAAATCACTTAAGGTTCTACAGTTCTGTGCTCCTGTTCCTTCCTCTTTCCTTTTCTTCTCTTGGTCTATCTTGTCATAGGTGTTCTGTTTTACAAGTCTTTTCAAATAATCAACTTGTAGCTTTCTTCTTTGTTATAATCTTGGTTTCTATTTTAATTATTTTACTGTTTTATTATTATCTTGTTCCTTCAAATTTTTAGTTTTTTTGTTCTTTCTTTTCTTAAGTTCATCAATTGCTTATTTATTTTTACAATTTCTATTTTTATATATAAATATTTATGAATATAAATCACCTCAAAATGCCACTTTTGCTTTCCCTAAAATATTTGATATGTAGTAACTATATTATTCAGTTATAGGTATTTTTAAATTTCTGATATGATTTATTGTTTAATCCAAGGGGCTTTAGAAGGATGCATGGTTTTTATTTAAATTTGTAAATATAACTGCATCTTTCACTAATACTTAGAGTTAAATTCTTATTTAGTTATGATTTGATGAGAGAATGCAGGAAGTATAATCCTTTTTATTTTTGAATTGAGACTTCTCTGCAATTATATCTGATGAACTTTCTAAATTACCTATATGCCTTAAAGAAAAATTAGACATTTTATAATTTTTGAATTTTTTACTTTAACTATAAAGCTATATTAGTTCTTATGTTTTTATACATGCCATTAAATTTTTTCAAATTAATGAACTTATCATCTATGAATAAAGAATGCTTTCCTTTCTTCCTTTCCAGCATAAATACCTTTTATTTCTTTTTCTTTCCTATTGCACTGGCTAGATCTTTCAATACCATGTTGAAGTGGTAAGAGATATTTATCTTGTTGTTGATCTTTTGATTATTGATCTATAGTCTATAATGTTAGTGGCAGGTTGTTTATAAATCCCCCTTATCAGGTTGAGAAAGATTCCCTTTATACTTGTATTGATGAGAACTATTGTAAAGAACAGATGCTGTGTTTCATAAAAGGCCTTTATAGTGACTGTTAAGATAATTATGTTTTCCTTTTTTAGTGTGCTAGTATACTAAATGATATTGATTTCCCAATGTCAATCCAATCTTCCAGTCCTTAGATAAATCCCACTTAGTTTACACACTATATATCATTGTATTCAATTTCCTAACATTTTTATTAAATTTTTTGCATCTATATTCATGAGAGATATTGATTTGCAGGTTTTTTTCCTGCAATGTTTTTGTTGGTTATCAGGTTAATGATGGACACATAAAATGAGTTGTGACATCATCCTTTCTTTTTAATATTCTGGAAGAGTTTACATAAATTTGTTATTTTTTCTTCCTTAAATTTTGGTACAGTTCACCAGTAAAGCCATATGGACCTGGAGTAGTATTTGTGAGAAGGTTTTTAATTATAAATTTAATGTATTTAATAGACATGGCTTTTTAGAGTATCTGTTTCTTCTTGAGTAAACTCAATAGTTTGTGTCTTTCAAGGGATTTGTTCATTTCATCAAAGCTGTTGAGTATATCTGCATAAAGTTGTTGATAGTATTCCTTTGTTATGCTTGTTATATCTTTAGACTTCATGTGATGCTGCCACTCTTATTCCTCATATTTTTATTTTATGTCTTCTTTATTACTTTCTTCATCAGACTGGCTGCATATTTATAAATGTATTGATCTTCTCATAGAACAATATTTTTTGCATTGATCATCTCTATTGTTTTCCTGTTTTCTATTTTATTGATATCTATCCTTATCCTTACTTTTTCTTTTCTTCTATTTAGTTTAATACCATTTGTTCTTCTTTTTCCAGTTTTCTAAAATGAAAATTAAGAGCAATGATTTGAGATACATTCTTTTTGCTTATAAAGGTGCTTAGTGTTACAAATTTTCTATTAAGTACTGCTTTAGCAGCACTCTCCAAATTTTGATATATTGATTTTTCATTTTTGTTTAATTGAAAATACACTCCGCTTTCCTTTTCAATTTCAGCTTTCACCTATGAATTATTTAGCGATGTGTTTTTCATTCCAAATACTTAAAGGTTTTCCGGAGATCTTTTCTTTATAGATTTGCACATTTATTCTATTTTAGTCATAAAAATATACTTTAAGTGATGAATTATTTCAAAGTTATGAAGACTTATGTCACAGCCCAGAATATGGCCTATCTTTGAAAACATGTTATGTGTTTTGGAAAAATGTGTATTACATTGTTTTATGGTAAAATGTCTATAAATGTCAAATAGGTCAAGTTGATTGATGGTTAATTGTTAAATTCTCTCTATCCTCACTTATTTTCTGTCTATTTGCTTCATCAGGTACTGAAAGGGTATATTGAAATATGCAAGTATGATTGTGGATATGTCTATTTCATCTTTAATAAGTTTTGCCTTTTGAAGCATTTTTTGTCAATTTAAACGTGCTGTATTCTCTTGACAAATCCACTCTTTCATCATTAAAAATGGCCTTCTTTGTTCCTGGCAATGTTCTTTGCTCTGAAATCTATTTAGCCATTTCAGTTTTCTCTTAATTAGTGTTACTTTAACTTGTTTGTATCTTTATATTTCAAGCATGTTTTCTCTATGCAACATAAGGTTAAGTTTTGCTTTTCACATATAACCCAAAAATCTCCATGTTTTAATTGAGGCTTGCACAATTTACATTCAGTGTAATATTACCAATGGTTAGGCTTCAGTCTAGTGTCTCACTCTCATCATTTATTATCCCCTTTCTTGTTTTGCGTTCTTTGGAGTTAATTGAATGCTTTTATGATTTTATTTTATCTTCTTTACTGGATTATTAGCTAAAGATCTTTGTTTTATATTTTAGTGGTTTCTTTAAGGTTTGTGGTATACATCTTTAACTTACTACAGTCTGCGATCACATATTATACCACTTCGTGTATAGTATATAACCTTCCAGCAATATACTATTCTCCACTCCCAACCTGTGTGTTTCTAATGTCAAACATTTTATTTTAAAATGCTATGAATCCCTCACTAAATTGCTACTATTTCTGTTTAGGCAATTATATTTTAACTATTTCTTTTTAATTGACAAATAATAATTATGTATATTTATGGAGTACAATGTGATATTTTTATCTATGTATACACTGTAGAAAGATTCAATCAAGCTAATTGACATATTCATCGCCTCATCAACATCATTTTTTGGTGTGAGAGTGTTAAAAATTAATTCTTTTAGCTACTTTGAAATACAAAATATATTATTATTAATTGGGGTCACCATGTAACACAATAGATCACTAAAACTTATTCTTCCAGTCTAACTGAGCTTGTACTCTTTGATTAACATCTTCCCTTTCCTCATCCCTCCTCCTCCTCTAGCGTCCGCTAACCATCCTTCTGTTCTGTTTCTATCAGATAAACTTTTTTAGATTCCACATGTAAGTGAGATCATATTTGTCTTTTTGTGCCTGTCTTATTTGACTTAGCATAGTGTTCTTCACTTTCATCAATGTTGCTGCGAATGACAGAATCTCCTCCTTTTTTAATACTATAGAGTATTCCATTGGGTATAAATGCCACATTTTCTTTATACATTCGTTCATTAACAAACACTTAGGTTGCTTTTATATCTTGGCTATTGTGAGTAATGCTGAAATGAACATGGGCATGCAGATATCTCTTGGACACACCAATTTCAATTCCTTTGGTTATATCTTTATACACTGAACAAACTATCTGAAAAAAATTAAGATACCTATCTCACAATAGCATCAAAGAATAAATAAAATATTTAGGAGTAAACTTAAGAAGATGCTTTCACTGTATAAAAAAAATTATAAAACATTTATGAAAGAATTGAAGAAGACACAAATACATGAAAACATATTCCATGTTCATGAGTTGAAAACATTAATATTGTGAAAATGTGCATACTGTCCACAGCAAGCTACATATTTAACACAATTCCTATCAAAATTTCAATGTTATTTTTACAGAAATGAAAAATATTCTAAAACTGATATGGAACTCAAATAGCCAAAGCAATCTTGAGCAAAAACAATAAAACTAGAGGCATCACATTCCCTGATTTCAAAATATAAACCTATTGTAATCAAAACAGCATAGTACTGCATAAAAACAGACACATCAACCAATAGAATAGAATAGAAAGACCAGAAGTATTTACAATCAATTGATTTTTTACAAGTGTACAAAGAGCACATAATGGAGAAAGAACAGTGTTTTAACAAATTATGTTGGGAAAACTGAGTATTCACATGTGGAAGAACAAAATTGGACTCTTATCTCACACCATATACAAAAATCAACTCAAAATGGATAAAAGACTTAAACATAACACTGGAAACTCTAAAACTACTAGAAGAAAACATAGGGGAAAATCTCCACAACAATGGTATTGGCAATAATTTCTTGGAAAGTATTGCAAAAGCACAGACAACAAAAGCCAAAACAGAGAAATCAGATTGCATAAAACTAAAAAGCTTTTTCACAGCAAAAGAAAAAACAGATTGAAGAGACAACCCATGGACTGGGAGAAAATATTTGTAAATCATACATCTAACAAGGGACTAATATCCAACATATATGAGAAACTCAAACAACTCGATAGCAAGAAAATAGAACACCTTTTTAAAGAACAGACAAAGGATCTAAACAGACTCTTCTCAAAAGAAAAGATACAAATGGCCAAAAGATTTATGAAAGAAGCTCAACATCTCTAATCACCAGGGAAATGCAAATTAAAACCACAGTGAAAAATCACCCCATAGAATGGCTAATATAAAAAAGATGAAAGTTAACAAGAGGTGGTGAGGATGTAGAGAAAAGGGAAACTTGCACACTATTCATGGAAATATAAATTAGTACAGCCATTTTGGAAAATAGTATGGAGGTACCTCAAAAAAATAGAATTCTATAAATAGAATCACTATATAATTCAGCAATTTTACTTCTGGAAAACTGTCAATCATATTTCAAAGAGACTTAAGTAATAAGTGGAAAATTCCATGTATTTATTCATGTAATTCCAATTTCAATAGTTTTTTATTAATTTCATAGATCCGTATTTCCATCTGGTAGAATATTCCTCCTGCCTGAAGGATTTTCTTTAACATTTCTTATGTGTCTGCTGGCAATAGATACTTTCTGCTTTTCTATGTCTGAAAAAGTCTTTAGTTAGCTTCATTTTTGACATATTTTCACCAAGTATAGGATTCTCACTTGGCATGTTGGACTTTTGTTGTTGTTGTACTTTAAAAATGTTACCGTGCTGTCTTCTTACTTACATGGTTTCCAATAAGAAATCTGCTGTCATCCTTATCACTGCTGGTCTGAACATAATGCACCTTTTTTCCAAGATGTTTTTCCTAGCTTTTACTAGCAGCTAGTGAAAAAGGTGCATCGTGTGTATTATTTTTCCTTTATCACTGGTTTTGAGCAAATTGGTTATGATATACCTTAGTTTTGTTTTCTTCATTTTTCTTATACTTAAAGTTATTTAGCTTCTTAAATGTGTGGATTTATAGTTTCTATCAAACTTGGAAAATTCTTGACTATTCAATATTTTTAAGCTCCTCCCCTCTGTCCTCTCCTTGAGGCACTTCAATCACACGTATATTTGGCTACTTGCAGTTGTCCCACAGTTCTCTGAGGCTCTGTTTATTTCCTCGCTACAGGTCATATTTTCTTGCTTATTTGCATGCCTTGTAATTTTTATTGAATTTCATATACTGTGAATTTTGCTTTGTTGGGAACTGGATATTTCTGTATTCCTATACATATTCTTGAGCTTTGATCAGTTAAATCATGTGGAAACAGTTTGAAACTCTGGGGTTTAATATTCATTAGTTGTGACCAGAATAGTGCCCAATTTAGGGCTAAATATTTCCCTCTATTGAGGCAAAGCCTTCCTGTGTACTCTACCTAATTCTTAATGAATCTCACGCCTTTCCAGGCTGTCTGATGGAATAGACATTCTTTGCAGCCAAGTGTGAGTATTGGGTACTTTTGCTTTTCATCCTTCCAGATGCTTCTCTCCTTGGCCTTGGGTAGTTTTCTGCAATCAGGGATTTATGTGAACACATTGTATGCCATCTGCAGGTTGCCAGAGTTCTTTCTGTGTGCCCTTTCTTCTCTCAAGAACCAAGTTGAGCAAATTCTAGCCACTTTGTTACCATTGACTCTCAGCTTCATCTCTTCAACTCAGAACTCCACCAGGCTGTCTGGGTTCCCTCTTCCTGCCCCTGATACTGGAAACCCTCTCAAGGCAGTAAGCTAGAGAAATTATAGGGCTCACCTTGTTCTATTCCTGTCTCTCAGAGATGATGGTCCTTTACTGCCTGATATTCAGTGTCTTAATTAAAACATATTGTTTTATATGTTTTGCTAATTTGTTTTGTTTCAGGCAAGAGGCAAACATACACTCCATTACTTTGCCCTGCCCCAAAACAAAATTCAATACATCAAACAATTTTTGATCTTGGATTTTTAATAAGATCTAAAATATATATTTAACGCATTTTGTTTGTTGTCCTTTGCAAGAAAGTTATTTCCCAAAAATGTGATTGATTTTATCCACTATGTCAAATAATTGCTGTAAGTTCTATGTATAAAAGGTTACAGAATCTCATTGGATTCAAACAAATCCCATGGCAGAATATATTTTATTAGATATATATTCTACTAGATACTATTTCAAATATATACATAAAATATATATTACTAAATATAAGATAAAGATATATGTATGAAACAAAATGACATGGAAAACGTAAAATATAACAAAGATACAGAAAAAGAAAATTAAGGAGATAATAAGCAGTGATCATGATGAGACAGGCAGAAATTTAAGGAAAGATTGCTTAATAGCGTGAAGAACAATATCTTGTTTTGATAAAAGTATGACACAGATGTACCAGTCATGAACCAGGTGCTTGGAATGAGAAGAACCAAAAGATCTTGTTGAGCATCAAGAAAGCTCTAAAATTAAGAATCTGACAAAGAGGAATGAGGCTGTCATTTCTAGTCATAATGAGTCCAAATCAATCATGATGCATTGCCTGGGGGCTGGGCGTGTTCCTGTCTCTCACAAAATGAAAGTTCTTTAGCAAAGAGTAGTGAGAAAATTAGAAAGGCAACCAACAGTGCCACAGGAGCAAAGCCCTCAGCGTCCAAACTGCATGGTGGATAGTGATAAGGGGGACTCCTCCCACCCTCTGAAACACTGTCTGGTTAGTGTTGTCACAAAAATATTCTTTTTGCCTCAAATGCACTACACATTTTTTAAGTTCAAGTGTTCTTATTATAGGTTTTTCTCATGTTGCTCCACCCTGCACTCCACAGCACTCAGAGTCGTCGAGTGTCATACGGCTGGTCTGGCAGATAGTTCTGCACTCATAATCGTCTTCTCTCCAAAGATCAGCGCTACTTTCTGCAGGGCTGTGCTCGTTTCGAAGCTTCTTCTTCCTTCCAGAAGCTTCTAAGCCCCTCACACAGTTACTTCTAATCTACTAAGTGGATGTCAGCCTTAATGGAGTTTAAAGGACATCAATCTTAGATTTAGCAAACTGGGTTTAAACCTTGCTTGCATCATCTCCCAGCTGGTGAACTGGCACAAATAACCTGTTAGACCATTAGTTTCCTCACATAAAACTAAGATAATAAGATCCATCCTTTAGACATGCCTGATACATAGGGGCAAAAATGGACAAGTGTTGGCCATGATTGTTAGAAAAATATCCACCTGACTCCAGTGCCTGGGTTCTATCCACAACGTGCATTGTGCATCTTAGCTTTTATGATTTGTTTCAGAACATATTCAAATTAGATGTTCTTTTAAGTATATGTATTTTGCCACAGAATGGGAGTGGAGAAGGCAAATAAAATTTGGAATGACATGAACAGAAAAATTTGTCAATAAGTATTTCAAAAAATTGAATCGTAATGTCTCCATGAAAATTTCAGTCAAAATAGCCAGTGGTAAGAATTAGAGTTGAAAGCACCTACCTATTACACACAGGAGTAGAACGCTCACTTAAGGAGGCAATGCAAAGCCAAATGAAATAAATAAATGTGCAAGTTATCACAGTCCCTAGGGTTTTAAAAAATCCTTCTTTTTTTCCAAATTAAATCTGTTTATGTCCTTGGGAATGAGTCAAACACACAATGCTGAGACAAGTAAAAAGAATTCAGTGTTTTTTTCCCACTGGTATGTGTTGAGTCATTACCAGTGGTAAATAACTCTTTTACATGAATTATCCATTAAAGATAGAGGAAAATTAAGTACTGACAAGGTTTCAATTACCAATCATTAAATCAAGAAAAATGTTTCTATTATTCCATTTCTTCTTAATTAACTCTATCATATCTGACTTAATGGTTCTCAACTTTGTGCCTCCAAGATAACAAACAAGGGGTTACTCTGTGCTCCTGATGAAGTTAAATGTTATTCTGTATATACTACTATTTTGTTCCTACTGATTTCTGAGATGTTAGATTTAGAATTCATAAATGTCTGGTGTTAGAATTATTACTCCCATATTACAGATAATAAACTGAAGGTCTTCAATCTCAGCAGCAACACGGGACACATAGCTAATACTTAGAGGGCTGGCATTTGTATCCAGGTGCGCTTAATTACTCCACCTCACTATTCGCAAGGTAGTGGTTCCCTTTATTATGAACAAAACATGAGTCTATTTTTTCTTATACTAGATGCTATGGGTTAAATTGTGCTCCTCACCAAAAAATGCATACATTAAATTTATAACGACCAGTACCTCAGAATAGGATCTTATATGGATATAGGGTCTTCGAAGAGGTAATCAAGTTAAATGAGATCATTAGGCTTTGCCTTAATCCAATATGACTAGTATGTTTATTAAAATAAGAGACTTAGCCACATACGCATAGAGAGAAAATGTGAAAACTAGAAGATGGCCATCTACAAACCAAGAACAGAGGCTTTACAAGGAACCAACCCCGCCAGCACCTTGATCTTGGAGCTTTCAGCCTCCAAAACTGAAAGAGAATAAATTTCTGTTGCGGCAGTCACCCAGGCCATGGTACTTTGTTAAGTACCTAGCAAGCTAATATATTTCCATCATATTTACTACAAGCTTATACACTTCCATTGTGTTTACTACGGCATCTTGATATGCATGTATTGAAGTCATTGATTTAAAAAACACTGCATGCCACAGGGACCAGGAGAGCCCCAAATCTCACCTCTAGAGACTCAGTCACTAGACTGATGTGGGTGTACAAAGAGATGTCCTCTGAGAATGGCTCATTTCTCATCCTTGCTCTGCCATCTCAGCTGGCTCTTTTCTGGGTTTGTGTGTGCCTGGTATATCACCCACCACAATCTACCCTCTATGAGGGAATATAATATGTATGTGCCATTCTCCCTCGCTACAGGGTGGTTACTTGAAGGTAAAAGACCCAAGATTCATTTGTCTCTGAATCTCAGGCAGATATTAGTCCTGAGTGCATCAGTTACTAGAGACACACTGCATTGAATTAAGTTAATACTCATTGTATGTTAAAGCTGAAATAATACTTAGAGATCTTCTAGTTTTTGGAGAGCAAAACTGGGTCCAAGTGGGCTGAAATGGTATATTTCTTTAGCAATTGGCCAAAAGCAATCTGACCCTCAGAATATCTGCTTCCATTTTCCTCTTACTCTCTATATGCATCTCTCTCAAATTTAGCATACTATTTTGCATTTAGGTTTAGTTGACTTGTTCTTACAAATTTGTTGGTTTTTACATTTGTTTACAGATGATAAACTTCTCCCTTTTCCCCTTTGTCTGTTTCTATGAGTTATTTTTAAACCTGGATTGCAGTAAGGGAAATTCCTTAGAAAATAACTCTTAGGAAAACTGGCTCTGATTATTTTCTATTTAGAATTATATTGACAACAGCAATCCCCATGGCTGTGCTCAAAGATGCATTGTATAACAAAAAGATATTCCATTTCACATGGTCACATTAAGGAACATTGGTTTTGCCATTCTCTATCATTTTCCCTCCGTTTTCATGTTACTCAGTGGTGTTCCTTGCTTTCCCCCACAGGAACAGCTAACAAATATCATGAGATAGTTTTTCTTAAGAAAGTAGTTTGCAGTTCCAGGAATTGTCAAATGTCTGAATCAGCATATTAAATACACTCAGCCTGCATTCCCTCAGTACCAGTATTTCTTTGGTCCCCAGTTGACTGCTTTAGGTCAAGAAGGGTTGAATTGGATTAGAAGAAGTAGGAAAAGGAGGAAAAAGGAAATGGCATTTTTAGTACAGGGAAGAACACAAGCAATGGGATGGGGTGACAAAGTTGCACACAAGTGAAGGAGCAACACAGGAGGGGTGGGGAGTGGGGTAGGGCACCAGCAGGAAGAGCTCTGAAGGAGGGCCCAGCTAGAGTTTATGCTATATATTACAGGTAACAGGGAACCAGAAAAGTGTGTGGGAAGAGTGACATGATTGGGCCTTGTGTGGGAAATATATTGGAGCAATTGCACTTCTCATTTGAGGAGGGAGTACAGGGTAGGCAGAAAGATGAAACCAAAGGCTTTAATAGTAATCCAGATGAAAACAGGTAATGGTTAGAAATAGGGCTTGGTAATGAGCAAAGAAGCAGATAAAACCAGGAGCATATCAGAAGTAAAATGAACCAGAGTTAGTGAAAAGATGGGGTTGTAAGAGAGATGGCTGTGGGATGTTTTCAGCAGGAGGGATGCCTCAGGGTGGGGCTGCCATTGGCTGAGATAGTGACTGTGAGCAAAGCAATACATTTCTAGGGAGGGTGACAGATCTATTCTGAGCTGTGATGGAATGTCCTGGTAGAAATGTCATGCAGGCAAATGAAAGTTTTCACCTGGTGTCACAAGAAAGCTTGGGTGACAGGTGTATACTTGTCACTTATGAGATGAAGATGGAAGTTGAAGTGAAGAGAGAGGCTGAGCTAACCCGGAGAGATATACAATATGGAAAGGGAAGAAGCTAGAGTCAGAAATCTAAGGACAGTACTATTTAAAGGGTATGTTGAAAAGAAGGACGGGGAAAAGGGAAGAGGAGAAGAACTGAAAAACAAACCAGAGTTTTGTACACCAAAGTAAAGAGAGTTTCATGAAGAAAAGTATGATCATAATTGTAAGTCGATACGCGAAAGTTGAATATGAGAAAGAATGAAAAGAAGCGGAATAATCAGAAAGTCATTAGTTACCTTTGAGGGAGCATTTTCAGTCCCGTGGTTATGTGATAGGGTATAGAGATCGGCCTCAGTTTTGTTGAGAATTCAGGAGGAAATCAGCAGAGGCAGCACATGCAGGGAATTCTTTCAGAAGTTTCGTATAAATAGAGATAAAAGCAAATTGCCACAAAATGTGTTCAATGTAGGGAGACCAAAGCAAATATAGATACCACCATATACAGGAGTGAATGGTAGCACCACATGATGTACCTGAGTCAAACTTGGGAGAACTTCCTTTCTCTTGTTCTGTATGTGTTCTTTCAAAAAATCTTCAAAGATTATTACACTATTAAAGTTTTGCTACAATCTTCAGGAGTTCTTCAGCTAATCAATAGCATTTTCCTTTGCAAGTCACGTGTCAGAAAATTTACGCTTTGTTAACACAAGTAATATTCTTCACTGGGGAATAACTTAATCCAGCTTCTCTCACTTGCCCCTTTGCCATCCTCAGAAATATCTGGTCATGAGTCACTTTTTGCTCATGCAGTACTCCTAATAGGTTCAAGAGATTTTTCTACATAAAGTGTCTCTATGTATTGAGAGACTGTGGCCAAATCTATCTTTTCCTTACCCATGACCAACTCTAAATAGGAGCACCTAGTGTCTGTTGCAGGGCCCTGGCGGGGAGGGGGGGTGGCAGCAAGTGAGGACAAAGCTGCCAAGGGCTAGCAGTAACCAGTCAACGGGTCCTACCATCTGAGTTCCTATGACAAGTTCCCCACCTACATGGTGAGGTGTTTTAGAGCTGTGGTCAAACGTTTTATATAAACAAGAGCTGAGACCACAAACTATTAAGTGCAACATGTCAGTTAATAATTATTTAGTGTCCAGAGCCAAGAAAGTACTTCTCACACAGAGTGTCCTTGAAAAGAGAACCATGATATTTACAATGCCAAGAGGACTTTTGTGAAGCAAGGCTATGTGTGAAGCAAGGCTATGTGTGAAGCAAGTATGCAAATGCAGACTGGGCTAGGCCAAGTTTGGCTCCATTTGGAATAAAAGCTTTCTTTTTCTCTGCTTCTACTACATGCAACAACTATTTTATTTGGTTGCTTTATTAGCAAGTAAGTGGAGCTGCAGAAAAGATTAATACAAATAAGTAAATTTTATTTAGCAAGTAAGTGGAGCTGTAGAAAAGATTAATGCCATTTGTATGACTTTTCTTGATTGCAGTTATTAAGAACAATTCTTTCCTTATCTTTAGTGGTATTTGTATTTTTATGTTACTTTTTTTAAATTTTAAAACTACAGAAAATATTATCTGTAGTATAATAAATACATTAAGATTAGTTAAAATCCCATCATGGGAGAAAAGCACTTTTAACATTATGTTCCAGTATTGATACATAGGGAAAAGATACAAAAATATAAACCAAAGAGATTTCCATAGAAATTATTTAGTGGCTACACAGCATTTCATTGTTTGGATGTGTCATATTTTATTTTAAAAATCCTCTGTTGCTGGATATTTATGCTGAATTCAACTTATTACTGTTTTTAACAATACTGAGAAAAATCTTACACATATATATTCATATATGGCACAAAATTTCCTCGACATACCATTGATAAATGAGATTGTTCAAATGGATTAGCAATATTTCAAATCAGATAATAAATGGTGTTTGTAAAGCACTTACTGATAAGATACAATTCCTAAAGCGTATTTTCAAACTCAAAGTAGAGATATATTTAACTACCCTCCATCTATGAAACAAAACAGAAAACGGAGTGGAAAATCCTGATAAGATTAAACATATTTCTTATTTATTGCCTGACCTAATTTGGTCAGTCACCTCTAGTTACCTTTAACAGTTTGAAGTCTGTGAGAGAGGCCTTTGACTTATGCTTCTTTCTTTAATGGAAGGATTTTTTTCCCTTTTTAAATAGTAAGACTTGTGTGATGATAGAGCAAAGGTTTTTCTAGAGGAAGACATTTGCTCACCAATGTCACTGATCCTAGTTCTCTTTTCTAGCCTGAGGGGCAGTTATTAAAAAGAATTCACCACAAAGAGTCTATTTTTCTTATTAATCCACTTCCACGGGGTGGGGAAATAAAGATAAACTAAGGATGAATCTATAAATTATTTACATTTTTCTTCTTTGTTAGGACAGAATCCATGACCAAATCATCTTGGAATCCTGCAGAGTTCCTGATGCTTAACACTAACTCCATTTGGACCTTAATCACTTCATTTGACCATTGCAATAACCATATAATATCAGAAAAGGCAGATGTCATTTTTCCCATTTTGCCAATGAAAATGAAAGACTGACAGGGCAGAAATGCAATGAGGCTAGCCAGGCTAAGAAGGGGGGGCACTTTTTTTGTAAGAAAGGAACAGAGAATTCTCTCTGGCTGGGAAAGAAGAGTGTATAAATAAGAGCCAGGAAACTGTTGCTTATCAGATCCGCGAAGCCCAGAGGATTCAATTCAGGCCAGTGCTACTATTGCAGGTCAGATTACAAGGAAGAGTGTCAAGAGGGAAAAGATGTTGAAGTCTTTGCCCTAGCTATTTGTGTAATGTCCACACGAAGATGTGATTAAGCACTATACGTGTGGCACTAGCTGTTACTGTACAATCAAAACTTCAATCAGAGTCATCATGAAGCATCTGTCTTGATGGTATGACTTTTAAGTCTAGGTGTAATGAGGCTGGAATGATCTATGGCAGGGGTTCCCAACCCCCAGGCCACAGCATTGGTCCATGGCCTGTTAGGAACCGGTCCACAGAACAGGAGGTGAGCAGAGGTGAGTGAGCATTACTGCCAGAGCTCCGCCTCCTGTCAGATCAGCACCGGCATCAGATTCTCATAGGAGCGCAAACCATATTGTGAACTGCACATGCAAGGGATCTAGGCTGAGCCCTCCTTATGAGAATCTAACTAATGCCTGATGATCTGAGGTGGAACAGTTTCATCCCAAAACCAACCCCCATCCCTGGTGTCAGGAAGGTTGGGAACCGCTGCTCTATAGTGTCAGCTGTCATACACCTGGTGTGGTGGGCAGTATGGTGGCGTTAGGGGAACAGAAACCAAATTTGAGAAGTTCATGTTTATTTCAGTTAATGTTTATTTCAAATTACACATCCTATATGTAACTTCCTCTTCTTTCTCTTTCTCTGCCTTTTTTATTTTTGTCTCTCTCATCTTTCTCACTGTTATTCAGAGAGAACTTAAAGGGGCAATAACTTCAAACACATGGACTGTGACCAATTGACAAATATGGGTGCTATGGGAGCTGCACTCAAGTTTATCTTATTTCCTCCATGTCTTCCCATCCACCCTATCACTAAAATAGACTTCCATGGACACACGGGGCCCACATGAGCACCCACACAGCCTTCCCTGAGAGCGCCATAGGACCCTTCTCCTGGGCCTCTCTTCCACTGCTGTCTGCAGTCCAGGGGCTGGCACCACCAGTCAAGAGGCTGATGACTTACCTAAAACCACACAGGTAATGGCTAATTATTGTACAACAGAGATGTGTAACAAACAACTGAATTACCCTAGCAGCATACAACAACAAGCATTTCATTTTACTAGCCACCTGTGGGCCAGCTGGGCAGTTACGGTCTCAACTGAGCAGTTCTACTGGTCTGAGCTGGGATCACGGGGTTCACTTAGGTGTTGTGAGATTTTTTAAATAATAAAATAGAATTCCAAATACAATTGCATTTATGGAAAATATTGTATTTACTCCAAACAAATTGATGCACACATGTTTTGGCGATAAGGAAAGATTTTACATTTGTTGTTTGTGATAAAATTAAGAATATTATTTATTTTTTTAAAGGTGCATAAACCCATCACTCTTCTGCAATTATTTCCATGTTTGTGTATTCTCTTGTATACAAGAGAATTTTTGTAAAAAACAAAGGGTTGTTATAATATATATCCCATTTTATATTCTGCTTTTTCATATTTTCAAATCTCCCTATTATCAATTGTGAGTTGACTAGAGATTGGATGTGTGGCTTTACTGATCTGGGCTGGGCTCTCACACATGTCTGGGCCCAGCAAAGACAGCTGGTCAAAGCAGAGAAGCAAGGGATACCACAAACACGTGCACAGCCTCTTAATGCCTAGTGCTCAAGGGTTGCACAGCATCACTTCCTCACATCCTATGTTCAGACTTTGGAAACGGGGAAATTCTTTCAATCTCTTGATTAAAGGGACTCCACAGTCACATTGCAAACGATTAGGATGCAGGAAAGGCTGGAGAAAAGAACCCATATTTGCAATCAATCCCCCACTCCATGAAACATACCTGGTCTAGCTTGCTGGAGGAAGAGCCATTTGTCTACAATGGGGCCATATTAAATAAGCCAATACCCAGCCAGCCACCAGGCATACATGAGAGAGCCACAAGAGCAGAAGAACCTCCCTGACAAGCCCAGCCCAGATTGTCACAGTAGGCTTGTGAGGAATGTGTCAATCACTAATACACACAGTAAGTGATTTGATTCAGGGCAGAATTCTACGTCTTTTGCCTACCAATTAAATGTTCCTACCCTGAGCTATGTTATCCTTTGTAATATTTGTTGAATGAGTTAAGAAATGAAAGAACACATGAATCAACATGAATAATCTAAGGTTAAGGTTCTAAAATAGTCTAGATTTAGTTGTCTAGTGTGCCATCATTTTTATTAAGAAGTAAGCTCTATATGGTCAGTGATTTTATTATTTTCTGCCTTCAGCTCCTAGAACAGTGAAAGCCACACACTAAATATTTGTGTTTATATTATCGGTTTCCAGCTGGCATGAATGAACTTCTCTCAAAACACATTTGCTTTAATTATTTTATTCAAAATAGATTCACATTAAATTGCTCTCTTATATAGATCAGAGTGGAAGAGCACAGTGAAGTGTGTAGGGAACACACTCCAAGGCCCTCCTGAATTCCCAGACCTGCCAGCACCAGGCTTCTCACAGGATCACCCCAAAAAGGAACATGAGGCGTGGAGATCAGGCCAGGCAGAACTGACAAAGTGGGTGACTGATTCCTAAAAACCCCTTTCAGAGAGAAAAACATGATTTTAGGGGCTTAACCACAACTGCTAACAGTGATTATGAAAAATACAGCAGCTACTACCTGTATATAATAAATGACAAACGTATTTATTCCAACTTTTATTTACTAAGAAATTTTCCTTGAACCCATATATTAAAAAGAAAAAAATTCAGAAAGATATTTCAGATATTCAGTATTATGCCTCTATACTTAGTATTTATTTAAAGCTTATAAACATTTAGTCAAAACATTTGACAAAATCTGAGTAAGGATTTCTAAATTTGTAAGGGGAAAATTCTTTCCGTTCCTGTTGTAGATTTCACTGACCATTAGTCTTTTAACTGCCGTATTTCCTCCTGTTTACGATGACACTCTGTTATGGCATATGGACCATCTTAAAAATTAGCATCACATTACCTTTACTAATCCTGAGAGAGCAGGAACTCTTCATCGGTCTTACTTATTGGTCGTATAGGGAAAACAAGAGATCCATTTTTAGATGCCGAGAGTTTTACTAGATTCTGGTTTTAAGTATAGCAATAAAAATTGTTTTTGACCCACACCACAAAAATGTCCAAATTTCTTTCATTGCCAAACACACACACATGCACAAGCATGCATGTATGTGCTCACACATACATTTGAGTGTGCATGAGTTAAAACATGGAGTTAAAATGTGTGAAATTATAGGAACTCAAGTATTTAAAATTATGCGAACTACTAAAAGGAATAGTGTCATTCCTGTGTAAGAGACTCACGTGGTTGATCTAGAGTTTAAAATGAACAGGAGTTTATAGAAATATAAACACATATTTAATATTAAATAATAATAAACAATAAATAATAATAATAATAATGAACAATAATATTATAATTAAATTCCATATCTCAAAAAATTCCATAATAAGAAATTCCATATCTGAGAAAAAGAAATGGAATATCCATAGAAGAGTTATATACTTTTACAATTTTAGCATCTAAAGGGTGCTCAACCCCTGCCCACTCTACTCTGCCACTTTATTAATGAACTTTGAGGACAGTCAAGTATATACCTCACCCAAAGCTACCCAGCTCAGAGATAAGAGGCCTGGTTTTCAAACCCAGGAGTCAAGTGTTTTCTACTTTCTCCCAGTGTATTTCTTTATAGACAATTTTAAGTCTTAAAACTAGGAGCTTGATTATAGGTTGTCTAGTTGAACTTCATTTTTTAACTGGAGAGAGAATTAAAATGTCCAAAATGAAGATCGCATGGCTGGGCATTGACAGATCTTGAATCCAGGAACCCCGATGTTAAACCATTATTTTTCCCACTTTACTAAACTCTCTCTTTTTTAATTTTATTAGATTCTGGGTATAATTTTGCCTCACATGCTATGATGTGTTTCCCATTTTTAAAAAGCTTCATAATGTTCTGAGAATAAAAAGAAGGGAACACATCTTTAAGCTTAGTAGCAAAGTTATGAAAACATAAATTTGTTAATGATAGTATGACATCGACTTCAGCATCCCCAGATCTCATTCTTTATATGCGAACATCTATGAGCAAATGCACTTAGTATTTGGACACAGGAACCACATAACAGCTATTAACAGCAAGTGAAAAATATTTCAAACACTACGTACCCCAACTGACATTTGAGTAGCAGTTAAGTTCTTGGAACGCTGCCATTTTGATCTGTTACGTAACAGCTCATTGTAAACAGGATGAAATAGGGCAGTTAAAAGACTAATGGTCAGTGAAATCTACAACAGGAATGGAAAGAATTTTCCCCTTAAAAATTTGGAAATCCTTATTCAGATTTTGTCAAATTATTAATTAAAAATAAAACTCACAAGGTCAAAGTATAAAAATAACAGCCAACCAATTTGCTCTCCTCTGGAGAACATATATCACAGGATGCTTTACTCAGCCCCATACTGTTTAAACATAGTTTTACAGTCTCTCCTGCTTGAAAACCCAGATATGCTCTTTGCAGATATGTTAAAACCACACATACAGGTAAACACGCGCCACATGGGAGGTAGCTCTGTTCCTGTGCACGGGTCCCGCATACAAGGTAGCTCATCTGCATCACCATGACAACAGCCAGGAATGCAGCTCACAGGCCACTACTGCAGGCCTTGGAGCCAGGCAGACCTGGGGCTAAAGCCAGCTGCACCAGCTACCTGTGCTGTTTGGTTACTTATTTAACCTCTCTCAGGCTGTGAAAATAAATTAATTAACCCATGTGAAGCATTCAGCCAATGGCTGGCACACAGGAAAGTGGTAGCACGTGTTATTTTTGTAATCATTATATGAAAAGCCAGCTCGAGCACCTGAGCCTCTGCAGGTACACAGAAATGGAATCCACTATTATTTTAACCATTTTCCTGATAGTTGCTAGTCCACATTACTTACAATTCAGAGCAAGTGATTTTCCCTTGGTCTAAACTTTCCCCTTCATTTTTATGGCTGTTTCACCGTTTCTCAGAATTTCTGTTGCCCTCCACTTACAACAACTTTCCACACACACTCACCCCATCTCAGGAATAAAAATAGTGACCCATTAAAAAAAATTCAAAAACATCATTTCAATCTAAGTCACATTCTTCATGCATGGCTTATTTGAATCTTCTGTGTCCTTCGTTCTCATGATTGTATGTCACACTGTGCATTTTAATGTTCTAATTATCCATAGGTCGAAACAGCAGCCACTATTTTAGAGCTGTAGCAATCCACTTGAAAAATCTGGAGGAAAAATGTTTTTCATATTAACCAAAGCACATTTCCTTCCTGATATTTCCTTATTACCCCCTTTTGACATTCAAGTGAAGGTGATTGCCAAGAAAAGATTTTGATGGTAGAACACTGAACATAAAAGAGCCAGTTCTTGGTTTTTAAATCTCAAAAGTCAACAAGTATGTGATAACTTTCCCCATCCTTCAGAATAGAAAAAAAAAAAATCCCCCAAATCATGGGAGGAACAGAGAATTGCGGAAGGACAGGAAGCTTGATTATTCAGCAGCATCTCTGACTTGAGGTCTGAGCTCCAGGTCCACTCCAAGGCAGGTCTAGTGTGAGAAGAGAACATTCTAGACAGGCCTGGGGAACCTGAGGGCATAGTAGACCTTCACATGTCCCTCTTGTTGAAGCCCCAGGAAGCAGTGCAGCCTCAAGCCCGGCAAGGGAGCAGCAGGCTAGAACCGTCTGGGACAACCTCCATCCAACAATTCCCTATAGCCCAGATTGCTGCAAAAACATCAGTTTCCCATCTCCCCCAAATAGCATGAAACTATAAAGAAGATTAGTCAGATGCAGAGATAATTAAAACTGAGGATGAGATCACTGAAGAACATAGTTGTGAAAATGCATGCCAACAACTAAATAACAGGCAGAATTAAGGATGGCTCAGTGGCTACCAGCCCAGAGAAGCACTGCAAAAATCACAAGCCATTAAACCTCGGGCATCCTCTGAGAAATAAAGGAGAGAGTGAGGTCATCCAGAGTTATCAAGCATTAGGTTTCAGAAATTAAGGAACTCAACATAGAAATTGTGATCAGGTACCAAAAAATAAAGTTACATTTCTTGCACACCTAAATTTATATATATGTAAATTCATATCTACAACATAAACAGACACTTTTAAAAAAATATCAGGATATCGGAGAAGCAGTTCTCTCAATTCACAATTATTTTACTATTTGAGTTCATGAGCATGAGCTTTAGAAAAATCAAAGGGCAGAGCACAGCATTAGGACCGGAGGTGCTGGGCAGATTTTGGCTCCCAATCCCCCATACAGACACTTGTCTGGTGCTTCTTCATTTTTCCATTCGACTTCACCAATGCAGAGCTGGTCTTCTCTTTTTTATCTTCAGTTTCTAGGGTTTTACCAAATTTAAAATGCCAGGGGCATATCTTAACCCCACACCAGAAGGGCTCTAGCAACATAACAGTGGGATTCATCTTGTTGACCTCACTTCTGATTTACCTTCTAACAACAACAAAAATGACAAAGCATGATAAAGGCATGAAAAAACACTTCTTATGAGACAAAGCAAACATTAGAACTAGGCTTAAGTAATACAGAGTGTATTCGTCAGGGTTCTCTAGAGGAACAAAACTAATAGAATAGATGTATATATGAAGGGGAGTTAATTAAGGAGTATTGACTCACATGATCACAAGGTGAAGTACTGCAATAGGCCATCTGCAAGCTGAGGAGCAAGGAAGACAGTGCAAGTCCCAAAACCTCAAAAGCAAGGAAACCGACAGTGCAGCCTTCAGTCTGTGGGTGAAGGCCCAGGAGCCCCTGGCAAACCACAGTGTAAGTCCAAGAGTCCAAAAGCCGAGGAACTTGGAGTCAGATGTTTGGAGGCAGGAAGCATCCAGCACAGGAAAGAGATGAAGGCTGGAAGACTCAGCAAGTTCACTCCTTCCACCTTCTTCTGCCTGCTTTAGCCACGCTGGTATCTGATTAGACGGCGCCCACCCAGATTGAGGGTGGGTCTGCCTCTCCCAGTCCACTGACTCAAATGTTAATCTCCTTTGGCAACACCCTCATAGACACACCCAGGAACAATACTTTGCATCCTTCAATCCAGTGAAGTTGATACTTTATATTAGTCATCATACGGATTTAAAAACTATCAGACAGCATATTTAAAATAACTATAATTAATATGTTAAGAACTCTCATAGAAAAAGGAGGCAATATGTAACAGATAACTAATGGAAGCAGAGATGAAAACTTGAAGAAAGAACTAGAAAGAAATGCTTCTAGCCACCAAAAGAGGACTAGTGTATGATCTCATTTATATGAGGTATCTAAAGTACTCAGATTAATAAAAGCACAAAGTAGAACGGTGGCCACCAGGGACTGGAGGAAAGGGGGAAAGGCATGTTGTTGTTTAGTGGGTACAGCATTTCAGTTTGGAATGATGAAAAAGTTCTGGATATTTGTTGCACAATGTAAATATCATTAACAACACCGACTTGTACCCTTAAAAATGGTCTAGGTGGAAATTTTACATTATGTGGTAGTTTTTTTTCTAATCACAATTTTTTAAAATGTTGAGGCTGCAGAAAATCAAGACCTGTCTTGATATCCTACAGGCTGGGGTGGAAATTGGCATCCCATGCTGGAATGAACTTAATAGTGTCTAGTCTAATTGAAATCTGTATGCACATAACTCAACAAATCTACTTCTATGTATATGCCCTAGAAAAACTCCTTTGTTTGCCCAAGAGGCTCAAAGCTGTTCATTAAATCACTATTTTTATCGCAGAAATTTTTTAAAAGAAAAATATTTTTTGTGTTGGTAATGGATACGTAAATGTTGTAAGTTAATATGGCAGAATACTATATATAGCGATTAAAAATATGATTAAAGTATTTAGCAGCTAGTCATTGAGCAGTTACTATATGTCAGATAGTGTCTGTCAATAAACCTTTTCTTATTTAATTAAAAGAAAAGAATCAGTGATTTTAAAGACAGCCAAATAGAAACTTCCTAAGCTGAAATGCAAAGAGAAAAAAAGTAAAAAAAAAAAACCAGAATATTCAAGAATTGTAGGACAATTTCTACAGATATAAGATATGCATAATTGAAATACCAGAAGGAAAGATAAAAGAAAATGGATCAGAAGAAAATTTAAAGTAACAATAGCTGAGAATTTCCAAAATTAATGACAGGGACCAAACCACTGATCTAGGAAACTCAGAGAACAATGAGCAAGGTAAATATCATCCCATATTCAAACTTTAGAAAATCAAAGACAAAGAGGAAAATCTTGAAATAAAATTCGGGGTGGCACAGAACGTTTTACTTATAGAGGAATACAAGTAAGAATTTCAGAAGACTTTTTAGAAGCTATGAAAGAAAAAAGACAAAGTGAAATATTTAAAATGTTGAAAAGGGCTGGGCACAGTGGCTCACGCCTGTAATCCCAGCACTTTGGCAGGCCAAGGCATGAAGATCTCCTGAGGTCAGGAGTTCAAGACCAGCCTGGCCAATGTGGTGAAACCCTGTCTCTACTAAAAATACAAAAATTAGCCTGGTGTGGTGGCACATGCTTGTAGTCCCAGCTACTTGGGAGGCTAAGGCAGGAGAATCACTTGAACCCGGGAGGTGGAGGTTGCAGTGAGCTGAGATCGCACCATTGCACTCTAGCCTGGGTGACAAGAGTGAAACTCCATCTCAAAATAAAATAAAATAAAATGTTGAAAAGAAAAAAAATACCAACCTATAGGATTTTAGGTTGGCGAAATTATCCTTCAAAAAGGACAGATAAATTAAGACTTTCTCAGACAAACCAGAACTGAGATAATTCACGGCAAGCAGACCTGCCCTGCAAGAAGTGTTCAAAGAGGTTCTTTAGGCAGTGAGATAATGGTACAGGCCAGAAACTAGAATCTGCCTAAGAAAGAAAGTTCATCATAGAAGGAATAAGTGAGGGTAAAACAAAATACTTCATTTTTCTCATTCTTAATTGATCTGAAAAATAACTGTTTGTTACCGCATGTTCTCATTCATAAGTGGGAGTGGAACAATGAGAACACATGGCCACAGGGAGGGGAACATCACACACCGGGGCCTGTTTGGGGGTGGGGGGCAAGGGGAGGCAGAGCATTAGAACAAATACCTAATGCATGCGGGGCTAAAAACCTAGATGACAGGTTGATAGGTGCAGCAAACCACCATGGCACACATATACCTATATAACAAACCTGCACATTCTGCACATGTATCCCAGAACTCAAAGTAAAATAAAATAAATAAATAAATAAATAATAACTATTTGTTTAATCATAGTAACAATGTACTGGATTCTTATAGTATATGGAAAAAATGAAATGTGTGACAACAATGTTATAAGGAACAGGAGGGAGGAATTGGAAGAATTCTGTTACAAGACACCTGTGCCTGAATCAGTATGGTGTTATTTGAAGGGGGACTTAGGTTAGTTAAAAATGTGTATTATACACTTTTGGGCAACAACAACAAAAAATTTCAGTGTACTTGATATGCTGGTAGAGGAGATAAAATAGAGTCATAGAAAATGTGCAATTAAAACCAGAGAAAGCAGAAAAAGAGGAGAGGTTTTAAAAACCACAATAAATAGAAAACAGTAACAAACATGGCAGATATTAATCCAACTATACTGTACCAATAATCACTTGATTGAGAATGATTTTAATACACCAATTAAAAGACTGAGATTGTCAGAGTGGATTGAAAACAAACCTAACTCTGTATTGCTTACAAAAAAAACCCCACACATTAAATATAATCAGAAATGTGAAAAGCAAAAGGCAAGAGGAAAAATAAACCATGCTTACTCTAAGCAAAATGAATTTCAAGTGGCTATATTAGTTTCAGACAAATCAGACTTCAGACAAGAAATTTTTCATGGGTAAAGAACGGTGTTACATGATGATAAAGAGGTCAGTTCTCCAAGAAGACATAAAAATCCTAAACATCTATCCACTGAAAAACAAGGCATCAAAATCCATAAATTACAACTGATGGAAATGAAAGGAGAAATGGACAACTCTACCTATACAGTTGTGGACTTTAACACCCCTCATTCAGTAATTAGTAGGTCAGGCAGGCAGAATGCTGGTAAAGACACAATTTACTGGCAAAGAACTATCCATCATCTTGATCTAACTGACATTCTAGACTACTCCATCCAACAACAGAAAACACATTATTTTTAAGTTATGGAACATTTACCATGATTAACCACATAATGGATCATAAAACACAATTTAGGTAATTGAAAAGAACAGAAATCATACAAAGGATATTTCCAGGCAACAATGAATTAAGCTAGAAAGATAGCTGCAAAACACTCACATATTTGGATATAAAACAGCATACTTTTAAATAACACAAGGGTCAAAAGAACTCAAGGGAAATTAAAAATATTTTGAACTAGTTGCAAATGAAAATATAATTTATCAAAATGTTTGGGAAACAGCAAAGTAATGCTTAGAGGGAAATTTATGGCACTAAATTTGTATGTTAGAAAATAAGAAAACCGGGAGGTGGTTCCAAGATGGCTCCAGGAGGAACAGGTCCATCTACAGCTCCCAGAGTGAGCGACGCAGAAGACGGGTGATTTCTGCATTTCCACCTGAGGTACTGGGTTCATCTCACTGGGGCTCATTGGACAGTGAGGGCAGGACAGTGGGTGCAGCCCACCAAGTGTAAGCCAAAGCAGGGCGAGGCATTGCCTCACCCAGGAAGCCCAAGGGGTCAGGGAATTCCCTTTCCTAGCCAAGGGAAGGGGTGACAGATGGCACCTAGAAAATCGGGTCACTCCCACCCTAATACTGCGCTTTTCCAACAGTCTTAGCAAATGGCACACCAGGAGATTATATCCCACACCTGGCTCGGAGGGTCCCACGCTCACGGAGCCTCGCTCATTGCTAGCACAGCAGTCTGAAATCAAACTGCAAGGCGGCAGCGAGGCTGGGGGAGGGGCACCCACCATTGCTGAGGCTTGAGTAGGTAAACAAAGTGGCCAGGAAGCTCGAAGTGGGTAGAGCCCACCACAGCTCAAGGAGGCCTGCTTCCTCTGTAGATTCCACCTCTGGAGGCAGGGCACAGCCAAACAAAAGGCAGCAGAAACCTCTGCAGACTTAAATGTCCCCGTCTGACAGCTTTGAAGAGAGTAGTGTTCTCCCAGCATGGAGTTTGAGATCTGAGAACAGACAGACTGCCTCTTCAAGTTGGTCCCTGACCCCTGAGTAGCCTAACTGGGAGGCACCCCCCAGTAGGGGCAGACTGACACCTCACACAGCAGGGTTCCCCTCTGAGATGAAGCTTCCAGAGGAACAATCAGGCAGTAACATTTGCTGTTCAGCAATATTCACTGTTCTGCTGCTGATACCCAGGCAAACAGGGTTTGGAGTGGACCTCCAGCAAACTCCAACACACCTGCAGCTGAGGGTCCTGACTGTTAGAAGGAAAACTAACAAACAGAAAGGACATCCACACCACAACCCCATCTGTATGTCACCATCATCAAAGACCAAAGGTAGATAAAACCACAAAGATGGGGAAAAAACAGAGCAGAAAAGGTGAAAATTCTGAAAATCAGAGCACCTCTCCCACTCCAAAGGAACACAGCTCCTTGCCAGCAACAGAACAAAGCTGGATGGAGAATGACTTTGATGAGTTGAGAGAAGCAGGCTTCAGATGATCAAACTTCTCCGAGCTAAAGGAGGAAGTTCGAATCCAACACAAAGAAGCTTAACACCTTGAAAAAAGATTAGACGAATGGCTAACTAGAATAACCAGTGTAGAGAAGTCCTTAAATGACCTGATGGAGCTGAAAACTATGGCATGAGAACTATGTGATGAATGCACAAGCTTCAGTAGCCAATTCGATCAACTGGAAGAAAGGGGATCAGTGAATGAAGATCAAATGAATGAAATGAAGCAAGAAGAGAAGTTTAGAGAATAAAGAATAAAAAGAAATGAACAAAGCCTCCAAGAAATATGGGACTATGTGAAAAGACCAAATCTACGTCTGATTGGTGTACCTGAAAGTGACGGGGAGAATGGAACCAAGTTGGAAAACACTCTTCAGGATATTACCCAGGAGAACTTCCCCAATCTAGCAAGGCAGGCCAACATTCAAATTCAGGAAATACAGAGAACGCCACAAAGATACTCCTCAAGAAGAGCAACTCCAAGACACATAATTGTCAGATTCACCAAAGTTGAAATGAAGGAAAAAATGTTAAGTGCAGCCAGAGAGAAAGGTCAGGTTACCCACAAAGGGAAACCCATCAGTCTAACAGCGGATCTCTCAGCAGAAACTCTACAAGCCAGAAGAGAGTGGGGGCCAGTATTCAACATTCTTAAAGAAAAGAATTTTCAACCCAGAATTTCATATCCAGCCAAACTAAGCTTCATAAGTGAAGGAGAAATAAAATCCTTTACAGACAAGCAAATGCTGAGAGATTTTGTCACCACCAGGCCTGCCCTACAAGAGTTCCTGAAGGAAGCACTAAACATGGAAAGGAAAAACTGGTACCAGCCACTGCAAAAACATGCCAAATTGTAAAGACCATCGATGCTAGGAAGAAACTGCATCAACTAACGAGCAAAATAACCAGCTAACATCATAATGACAGGATCAAATTCACACATAACAATATTAACTTTAAATGTAAATGGACTAAATGCTCCAATTAAAAGACACAGACTGGCAAATTGGATAAAGAGTCAAGACCCATCAGTGTGCTGTATTCAGGAAACCCATCTCACGTGCAGAGACACACATAGGCTCAAAATAAAGGGATGGAGGAAAATCTACGAAGCAAATGGAAAAAAAAAAAAAAGGCAGGGGTTGCAATCCTAGTCTCCGATAAAACAGACTTTAAACCAACAAAGATCCAAAGAGACAAAGAAGGCCATTACATAATGGTAAAGGGATCAATTCAACAAGAAGAGCTAACTATCCTAAATATATATGCACCCAATACAGGAACACCCAGATTCAAAAAGCAAGTCCTTAAAGATCTACAAAGAGACTTAGACTCCCACACAATAATAATGGGAGATTTTAACATCCCACTGTCAACATTAGACAGATCAGCGAGACAGAAAGTTAACAAGGATATCCAGGAATTGAACTCAGCTCTGCACCAAATGGACCTAATAGACATCTACAGAACTCTCCACCCCAAATCAACAGAATATGCATTCTTCTCAGCATCACATTGCACTTATTCCAAAATTGACCACACAGTTGGAAGTAAAGCACTCCTCAGCAAATGTAAAAGAACAGAAATTATAACAAACTGTCTCTCAGACCACAGTGCAATGAAACTAGAACTCAGGATTAAGAAACTCACTCAAAACCACTCAACTACATGGAAACTGGACAACCTGCTGCTGAATGACTACTGGGTACGTAATGAAATGAAGGCAGAAATAAAGATGTTCTTTGAAACCAATGAGAACAAAGAAACAACATACCAGAATCTCTGGGACCCATTTAAAGCAGTGTGTAGAGGGAAATTTATGGCACTAAATGCCCACAAAAGAAAGCAAGAAACATCTAAAATTGACACCCTAACATCACCATTAAAAGAACTGGAGAAGCAAGAGCAAACACATTCAAAAGCTAGCAGAAGGCAAGAAATAACTAAGATCAGAGAAGAACTGAAGGAGATAGAGACACAAAAAACCCTTCAAAAAATCAATGAATCCAGGAGCTGGTTTTTTGAAGAGATCAACAAAGTTGATAGACCACTAGCAAGACTAATAAAGAGGAAAAGAGAGAAGAATCAAATAGACGCAATAAAAAATGATAAAGGGGATATCACCACCAATCCCACAGAAATACAAACTATGATCAGAGAATACTATAAACACCTCTACGCAAATAAACTAGAAAATCTAGAAGAAATGGATAAATTCCTCGACACATACACCCTCCCAAGACTAAACCAGGAAGAAATTGAATCCCTGAATAGATCAATAACAGCTTCTGAAATTGAGGCAATAATTAATAGCCTACCAACCAAAAAAAGTCCAGGACCAGACTGATTCACAGCTGAATTCTACCAGAGGTACAAGGAGGAATGGGTACCATTCCTTCTGAAATTATTCCAATCAATAGAAAAAGAGGGAATACTCCCTAACTCATTTTATGAGGCCAGCATCATCCTGATACCAAAGCCCAGCAGAGACACAACAAAAAAAAGAGAATTTTAGACCAATATCCCTGATGAACATCGATGCAAAAATCCTTAATAAAATACTGGCAAACCAAATCCAGCAAAACATCAAAAAGCTTACCCACCATGATCAAGTGGGCTTCATCCCTGGGATGCAAGGCTGGTTCAACATATGCAAGTCAATAAACGTAATCCAGCATATAAACAGAATCAAAGACAAAAACCACATGATTATCTCAACAGATGCAGAAAAGGCCTTTGACAAAATTCAACAACCCTTCATGCTAAAAACTCTCAATAAATTAGGTATTGATGGGACGTATCTCAAAATAATAAGAGCTATTTATGACAAACCCACAGCCAATATCATACTGAATGGGCAAAAGCTGGAAGCATTCCCTTTGAAAACTGGCACAAGACAGGGATGCTCTCTCTCACCACTCTTATTCAACATAGTGTTGGAAGTTCTGGCCAGGGCAATCAGGCAGGAGAAAGAAATAAAGGGTACTCAGTTAGGAAAAGAGGAAGTCAAATTGTCCCTGTTTGCAGATGACATGATTGTATATTTAGAAAACCCCATCGTCTCAGCCCAAAATCTCCTTAAGCTGATAAGCAACTTCAGCAAAGTCTCAGGATACAAAATCAATGTGCAAAAGTCACAAGCATTCTTGTACACCAATAACAGACAAACAGAGAGCCAAATCATGAGTGAACTCCCATTCACAATTGCTTCAAAGAGAATAAAATACCTAGGAATCCAGCTTACAAGGGATGTGAAGGACCTCTTCAAGGAGAACTGCAAACCACTGCTCAACGAAATAAAAGAGGATACAAACAAATGGAAGAACATTCCATGCTCATGGATAGGAAGAATCAATATCGTGAAAATGGCCATACTGCCCAGGGTAATTTATAGATTCAATGCCACCTCCATCAAGCTACCAATGACTTTCTTCACAGAATTGGAAAAAACTACCTTAAAGTTCATATGGAATCAAAAAAGAGCCCGCATTGCCAAGACAATCCTAAGCCAAAAGAACAAAGCTGGAGGCATTAAGCTACCTGACTTCAAACTATACTACAAGGCTACAGTAACCAAAACAGCACTGTACTGGTACCAAAACAGAGATATAGACCAGTGGAACAGAACAGAGCCCTCAGAAATAATACCACACATCTACAACCATCTGATCTTTGACAAACCTGACAAAACCAAGAAATGGGGAAAGGATTCTCTATCTAATAAATGGTGCTGGGGAAACTGGCTAGCCATATGTAGAAAGCTGAAACTGGATCCCTTCCTTACACCTTATACAAAAATTAATTCAAGATGGATTAAAGACTTCAATGTTAGACCTGAAACGATAAAAACCCTAGAAGAAAACCTAGCCAATACCATTCAGGACATAGGCATGGGCAAGGGCTTCATGTCTAAAACACCAAAAGCAATGGCAACAAAAACCAAAATTGACAAAAGGGATCTAATTAAACTAAAGAGCTTCAGCACAGCAAAAGAAACTACCATCAGAGTGAACAGGCAACCTACAGAATGGGAGAAAATTTTTGCAATCTACTCATCTGACAAAGGGCTAATATCCAGAATCTACAATGAACTCAAACAAATTAACAAGAATAAAACAAACAACCCCATCAAAAAGTGGGCAAAGGATATGAACAGACACTTCTCAAAAGAAGACATTTATGCAGCCAACAGACACATGAAAAAACGCTCATCATCACTGGCCATCAGAGAAATGCAAATCAAAACCACAGTGAGATACAATCTCATACCAGTTAGAATGTCGATCATTCTAAGATGTGGAGAAATAGGAACACTTTTACACTGTTGGTGGGACTGTAAACTAGTTCAACCATTGTGGAAGACAGTGTGGCGATTCCTCAAGGATCTAGAACTAGAAATACCATTTGACCCAGCCATCCCATTATTGGGTGTATACCCAAAGGATTATAAATCACGCTGCTATAAAGGCACATGCACACGTATGTTTATAGCGGCACTATTCACAACAGCAAAGACTTGGAACCAACCCAAATGTCCATCAATGATAGACTGGATTAAGAAAATGTGGCACATACACATCATGGAATACCATGCAGCCATAAAAAAAAAATGAGTTCATGTCCTTTGTAGGGACATGGATGAAGCTGGAAACCATCATTCTCAGCAAACTATCGCAAGAACAAAAAACCAAACACCGCATGTTCTCACTCACAGGTGGGAATTGACAATGAGAACACTTGGACACAGGAAGAGGAACATCATACACTGGGGCCTGTTGTGGGGTTGGGGGAGGGGGGAGGGAAAGCATTAGGAGATATACCTAATGTAAATGACGAGTTAATGGGTACAGCACACCCACATGGCACATGTATACATATCTAACAAACCTGCACATTGTGCACATGTACCCTAGAACTTAAAGTATAATAAAAAATAAATAAATAAAAAAGAAAAGGAAAAAAAAGAAAATAAGAAAATCCAGCCAGGTGCGGTGGCTCACGCCTGTAATCCCAGCACTGTGGGAGGCCGAGGTGGGCAGATCACCTGAGATCGTGAGTTCGAGACCAGCCTGACCAACATGGAGAAACCCCGTCTCTACTAAAAATACAAATTTGCCAGGCATGGTGGCACATGCCTGTAATCCCAGCTACTCGGGAAGCTGAGGCAGGAGAATCGCTTGAACCCCGGAGGCGGAGGTTGCTGTGAGCCGAGATAGCGCCATTGCACTCCAGCCTGGGCAACAAGAGTGAGACTCCATCTCAAAAAAAAAAAGAAAAAATAAAATAAGAAAACCCTATAATAAGTAACTTTCACATTAAGAAACTAAAGAAAGAACAATGTAAGTCTAAAGCAAGTAGAAGAAAACAATAACATTTAGAGCAGATGTAATTCAAATTAAAAACAGAAAAACAATTGAGAAAATAAATGAAACCCAAAGCTGGTTCTTTGAAAAGATCATTAAAATTTATAAAATCCCAGCCAGCCTAACCAAAAGAGAGGAAGAGGGAGAACACAAATTATCAGTATCAGAAATCCATGAGAGGTCATCATTATTGATCTCATGAGTATTAAAAGAATAATAAAGGAATATTATAAATAACCCTATTTGTTACTTGATAACATAGATGAAATGGGCCAATTCCTTGAAAGATACAAACTACCAAAATTTTACAATATTCATTTAAATAGGCTCATATCTATTTAAGAAATTGACTTAATAATTAATAACCTTCCAAAAGAAAGCAAAGCAAAGCAGGTCCAGATAATTTCAGGAGTAAGTATTATCAAACATTTAGAGAAAATAATCCTACCAATTCTCTACAATCACACCTAGAAAGTGGAAGTAGAAAAATTACTTCCTGACTTATTACCTGATGCTAGCATTACCCTAATGCCAAAACCAGGTTAAGACATCTTAAGGAAGGGAATCTATAGACCCATATGTTTCATGTACATAGATGCAAATATATTTTAAACTATTACCTTCAAAATATTAGTGAATTGAATCCAATAATGTACAAAAACAATTACATCCCACAACCAAGTGCGATTTTTTTTTTTAGGTGTGGAATGCTACTTAACATTTGAAAATCAGTCAGCGTGATCCACCACATTATCAGGTCATAGATAAAAAATGATATGATCCTATCAATTGATACAGAAAAAGCACTGGACAAAATCAACTCCCAGTCATGATAAAAACTCTCATCAAGGAATAGAAGGGAACTTTCTCAACTTGATTTAAAAATATTTTTACAAAAAACACCCTAAAGCTAGTATTATATGTAACAGTGGGAAAGTAGACAATTTCCCCCTGGAATCAGGAGCAAGGCAAGGGTGTCCACTGTTCCCACTTCTATTTAACATCTTACTTACTAAGTCCTAGTTTACACAAATTAGATGAGAAAAGGAAATAAAAGTTCATAAATAAATAAAAAGTTATCAAAAACAAAAACGTCTAAGAACTGTCACAGCCTATGGAAACAAGATAACTAAATGTAATGTGGTATTCTGGATAATACCCTGGAATAGAACAACTATGGAAATCTGAATAAAGTATGGGCTCTAGTTAATAATGCAACAATATTGGTTTATTAATTGTAAGAGATGGGCCATACTAAGGTGTCCATAACGAAGAAGACCAAGTGTGGGATACATGTGAGCTCTCTGTACTATCTTCACATCTTTTCTGTAAAACTGTTCTAAAACATAAAGTTTATTTTCAAAATGCTAGAGGCAAAGGTCAGAAAGTTTTGAATACAAGGCGTCCATTCCCCACTGGCTCACACAACATTTCCCTGGTGGGGAAGCCGAGGTTCAGCACTGGGAAGGAAGACCTAGAATACAGGTCTCCTAAATCCCAATCTAGTTCTTTTCCCAGATGTTTGCCTATCCCTTTTGACTTTGTTTTACTCTTCTCCTATTCACACTCCTGTTTCTTACTGCTTTGTTTGTATTTACGTGTATTTGTCAGGAGACTTCTCCAACTCACACAGAAGCAGTTGTTTGCACCATGTCCAGACCAGGTCTCAAAATGTCTTTGCCCGCTAACAGCAGCCAGGCCCCCTGGGAGGAATAACCAAGGCTGGGTCTGAATGCGTTTTCCCTCTAGGTAGCAGGAGCACTATCACAGCTACTGGGGCTATGGCAGAAGAAGTCAACTGGCCAAGGATGGGACAATTTGAGAATCTGATAAGTAATAACTGCAAAAATAGAGCAAATATACAAAAACCCATGCATTCATTATCAAACACACATACTTGCACACTCCACTGTTACCCCACAGAGCTGGAGAAAGTAAAGAAACACAAGCTCATGATCTCGAAAACTGGTTGAAAAATAACAGTAATCACACTTTAATCTTGCTTTCTTAAGAACTGTACCTCAATTGAAAAATTCAAACCAAGATGTACAAAAAGAAGAATATAATTTTAAATATAACTGCCTTGCAATTCCTACTGATGTAGATAGGACAATAGTTGCTAGCGGCTGTTAAATCTTTTAGGCAAACAGCTGATGGGGAATTTTATAATGAGCAGATCAGATTGACCTCATCTGTACCACTGATCCAATTTAACATTAGCAAACAATTCCATTCCTCCCTGTGTGGTACAAAAGGGAGAGCATAATGACACCTATTCCCAAGAATTCTTACCAACTGAGCATGCTAACCTGACCAGGCCTCTCGGTAGAACTAACAGGTTACAGGAAACAGACAGGAGACAGCAGCATATCAAACTTCACCACGGAAATAAAATTAGCAAGATTCTGTATTCAGGAAAGACTGCTGTAGGACAAATAATCTGGTTTTTTCAATGAATAAGTAACAAGGGGGAGAAAAAGGAAGGACAAAATTAGAAAGATGTAAGAAATATACCCATCAGCTGCAAGGGATAGACCTGACAAGCCAACAAGAACATTGATGAGATATCGAGAAATATTTCAACACTGACTGAACATTTGTTAACTTAGGTAATTGTCAGTTAGCCTAGGTGTAATAAAGCATTTCTTATTGCACTTTAAGAGGAGCCTGTATTGGTTAGAGATACTATTGAGAATGGATAAAATGATCTGCAGGCTGGGGTTTGCTTCACAATAATGCTGTGAGTGCGTGGGGGTGGGGTAGACACTAGGCAAGATCGGTCATGTGGATTATTGCTTCATTAGGTGAGAGCTACAAGAGGGGCTTGGCATACTCTTTCTTCTACTTTTATGTATGTTTGTAATTTTCCATCATAAAACATTCAAATCCTATCAGTTGCCCCCTCCTTTGTGCCCCACGTCTGCCATAGCACATTGTTCCTCCCTCAACTATAATGATTGCTTACTGCTTACCAAATCTAGTCTTCAGGGAGTGCCCACGGGCATGATTTTCTGTGCCTGTCCAGGTCTAAGCACAATGACCAGCACACCATAGGCATTTATGCAGCAAATGAACATACGGTTACTATACACCAGATTCCCGCCTATCCACCTCTCAATTTCAAACCACGGAAATTAGAATTAGATCTTATTTTTCCATATCTACAGTATCTTAAAATTGTGTGGCTAATTCTATCCACATCCTGAAGGAGGTGAGGGCATTTTAAATGAATCTTGAATGTACAGATAAAACACAATTGTAAAAAGAATAGCTGTATCCATTTGAAACTAAACAAATAGTAAATACAATCTGGTTTCACAATCCAATTTCTTGCACAGTATAAAATAAAGCAATATGTTTATTATGGATTTAGGGCTGTCACAAGAGAGTCATAGGGCAGACAATATATGCTTACAGGGAGACTGCAGTTCCAGGGTAAACTACAGCTGGAGGAAAGAGCCTTTGGGTGTCTAACTGTGGAAAGAAACAAGGACATTAGAATTTCTAGCCATCACAGGGAAAAGAACAGTGAGAAGAGGAAAGGATATTGACTGAGAGAAAATTTGTTACATTCTCTTTCTCCATAAAAATTTCATCCGTGGTTGTGGGTGACAGCCTGCCTGATGAAGTAGGAAAATGGTCCATGAGAAGTTCACCATCAGGAAGTGGCACCTGAGGCCAGGGTTTTGTTGTTGTTGTTTGCTTGTCTGTTAACTTCCTTCCTGTGGGTTCAAAGAATAGGACCCATATACCAGTGCCTCTACCCATGAAGGGAACCAAATCTGATTAATTTGTTGGAATTCTACAACACTTTCAAAGCTTGAGAAGTACCTGTACTGACCATTTAAACACACTTTTAAAACATTTTACTGAACAGTTAGTATATGCACATGATAAAATGCAAAAACATAGATGGATATACAGTCAACAACCAATCTCCTTCCCCTAGAGATGACCTATGAGCAGTCACTTGTGTATTCTTCCAGAAATATTTAATGCATACATGTGTTTAATGCATGAATACATATATATGTATTCATATATTATATATATATATATATCCCTATTTTTACGCATGTTTTTACATTATCCACTGTTCTGTGCCTTGTGTTATTTTTAACTTATTTGGAGACCATTCCATATCAGCACATACATATCTTTCTATTCCTTTCAATGGTTCATAGTCTTTGGATGGTCTTTAAATTATTACACTTTAGGCTAGCTATGCAGTTCTAGGCTTTCTCCAGTGTTTTGTGGCATGGTGGCGCAATGTGGTTATCATTCTTGTAATGATGTCTTTACAAATACATATATGTGTATAGCTGAAGGAAAATTTTCTAAAAGTGAAACTGTTTTTGTAAAAACTATAGGCATGTTTAACCTGGATCAACATAGTCTAATTGCTACCCAATGATCCTGTAATAATTTATTATCAACACAGTCTTCAGATTGTTACCTGTGAGCAGAGTGAATGTTGAGGAGGTCAAAAAACAGCAGCACACCCTACAGGCTGACTCAATGCATGACATATGTGTTGAAGGGTACCTTCTATTAATTAAACTACTTAAATTGATTTTGCTGTGAGAGTGCGTATCTAATGTTTCAGCTATTCTCATGAATGCTAGCAAAGAGATTACTATGTTATTCAGAGATCAACATCTCATAAAATATTCAAAAATAAAATGAAGATTAAGATAGAAATAAGACAAATAGGCCAGGCGCGGTGGCTCATGCCTGTAATCCCAGCACTTTGGGAGGCCGAGGCAGGTGGATCACGAGGTCAGGAGATCGAGACCATCCTGGCTAACACAATGAAACCCCATCTCTACTAAAAATACAAAAAATTAGCCGGGCGTGGTGGCGGGTGCCTATAGTCGCAGCTACTCGGGAGGCTGAGGCAGGAGAATGGCGTGAACCTGGGAGGTGGAGCTTGCAGTGAGCCAAGATCATGCCACTGCACTCCAGCCTGGGCAACAGAGCGAGACTCCCTCTCAAAAAAAAAGAAAAGAAAAGAAAAGAAAAAGAAATAAGACAAATAATCTCATTTAAAAATGGGCAAAAAATCTAGGCTGGGCACAGTGGCTCACACCTGTAATCCCAGCACTTTGGGAGGCCAAAACAGGTGAGTCACTTGGTGTTAGGAGTTTGAGACCAGCCTAGGCAATGTGGCAAAAGCCCATCTCTACAAAACATAAAAAATTAGCCGAGAATGGTGTAGTCCTAGTACTCAGGAAGCTGAGGTGAAAGGATCACTTGGAGCCTAGGAGGTAGAGGTTGCAGGGAGCCAAGATGGCACCACTGCACTCCAGCCTGGGTGACAGATTGAAACCTCATCTCAAAAAAATAAGATAAAAAGTAAAATCAAAAATACAAAAATAAAAATGGGCAAAAAATCAGAATCGAATTTCTCCAAAGAAAATATGCATATAAAACCAATAAGCATATAAAAAGGTGTTCAACATTATTAGCTATCAGGGAAATAAAAATAAAAACCAAATGAGCTACCACTTCATATCCTTTAGGATGGCTGTAATCAAAATGACCAGCAAATGTTGGCAAGTAAGTGGAGAAAGTAGAAACCTTATACACTACTGGTGAGAATGTCAAATGGTGCAGCCACTTTAGAAAACAGTCTGGCTGTTCCTCAAAAGGCTGAACATAGAGTTGTCATGTGACTCAGTAATTCCACTCCTAAGTATAGATCCAAGAGAAATGAAACATATGTGCACCGAAAACTTGTACATAAATGTTGATAGCATCAGATAATAGCCAAAAAGCAGAAATAACCAAATGTCCATCAAACATCAAAGATGAATACACAAAATGTGATATATTCATACAATAGAATATTACTTGACAATGAGAAGGAAGGAAATTCTGACACAGGGTACAATGTGGATAAACCTTGAAAACACTAGGCCAAGTAAAAGAAGTCATCACAAAGAACTCTGTATGATTCCATTTACATGAAATGTGCAGAACAGGCAAATCTATGAAGACAGAAAGTACACTGGTGGTTGCTAAGGGGTAGGGGGTGAGTGAGTCGAGGAGAATGAGTGAAAAGCAGAGGAACTGCTAAGAGGTACAGGATTTCTTTATAGGATGACAAAAATGTGGTAAAATTGATTATGGTAATGGCCGCACAACCCAGGAAATATGCTAAAAAACACTGAGGGCACCAATACATTGACATATAAAAGAAGATTAGCATGTGGCAAGTAGATTTCCTTCTATTTTGTGAGGATAATTTGGCAAAATGTTTTCCCTAACTTTAATCCTTATGACAAATATGAAATGGAAAGCTATTTTATAGAGGAAACTATGTAAGTATCCATCCTATAAGTATCCATCCTATGCCAAGTAATCAGGGCATAATCTGAAATGCAAGTGTTTTTCTCTTTGACTATCAGACTATAAATGCCTGCTGTGCAAAAGTTGAACATAGTGTCTGTGCCCAAAGTGTCTACTCCGAGTCTTTGGAGTAGTCTGGGCATGTCAACTGTGGCATTGTGAGAATGACACAAACAGCAGCCGACATTTCTCTCGCAGCCATATCACTTTGCAGCTCCAGTGAGCATGGTACAGGTGTGGAGTCATAACTGGATGCGAGAGAGCAACCATGGTGCCGTTTCAATAAATAATTAACTGATTTTTAGCCATTGACGCAGGACCCCCAAGTCAAGCACAGCAACTGTCAGTGGCCTCTGTGTCTATATGAATGGCCTCCACTCCAGGGGGTAGGTAATAATTAACTAATTTTTAGCCATTGACACAGAACCCCCAAGTCAAGTACAGCAACTATCAGTGGCCTCTGTGTCTACGAATGGCCTCCAATCCAGGGGGTAGGTAATAATTAACTAATTTTTAGCCATTGACACAGAACCCCCAAGTCAAGCACAGCAACTGTCAGTGGCCTCTGTGTCTATATGAATGGCCTCCACTCCAGGGGGTAGGTAATAATTAACTAATTTTTAGCCATTGACACAGAACCCCCAAGTCAAGTACAGCAACTATCAGTGGCCTCTGTGTCTATGAATGGCCTCCAATCCAGGGGGTAGATAATAATTAACTAATTTTTAGCCATTGACACAGAACCCCCAAGTCAAGTACAGCAACTGTCAGTGGCCTCTGTGTCTATATGAATGGCCTCCACTTCAGGGGGTAGGTTTAGTCTGGGGCCTGTGTCCAGCTTCTGAGACTGAAGACCTCATGCCAGAGATTGGGCTAACAAGGACATTCTTCCCCCTTATGATTAGATGGGTCTCCTTTAGAATGCAGGGCAGTGAGACAATGTGCTTTGCTCTTGCCTTGCTTTAAACTTCTAGTCTCTCTCACAGCTAAAAATCCGAAGGGTTTTGCTTCACTCCAGAAGTGATAACAGTGTTCAGCGCCAATGCTGGACAGGTAGGCTATCTGCCTGCACGAGGAATCCTCCTGTCCATCTGCCTCCCCTGTTGGCACATGGAGGGCATGGGCTTATCCTAGACACAAACCCCTGGCAGGTGTGATGGTCGGACCTGGTTTTGGTATCTCTCCTCTGGAGGTGTCCTTGTTCATCTCTTCCCTCTTAAGTGAGATGACCTAAAAGGTATAAAATAATTTTTATTGACTTTTTGGGATCACACTTAAAGCATAAATGCAAATATGCATGGAAACTTAGCTGTAATTATGCCTACATAGCTAAGGTATTTATAATAGAAATAAGTAGGAATACTTAAATGCCCATGAAAAAGGACAGTTTAAAACTGTGAGATAATCAAAATGGATTCATAAAACCATTTAAAGTTATCTTCTAAAGGAATACTTGATAACCTGGGAAACTTTAGCATCCCCTGATGGTGTACAAACCGCATCAACCTCTTCCACGTCCCAGGTATTTAACCATGATGCTAGTGTTTTTCTAGTGCTTTTTTCAATGTTCTCCATTACAGCTCCCTCTTGGCAGACTCCAAAATCTCACTCAAGTTTTGGAGGCTTCCTAAATGTTCCTAGAAGATTTAGGCCATGCTGTCTCTGTGCACCCAAATCTCCTTTACAGGAAGCATCCTCCTAGCACTGACCACCTTGAGCCATGTTTATGTTCAAGCATCTGTATTCTTCACACACTGTGGACTTCTCAAGGATGGAGGCAAGCAACTGGAAGCATCTTTGCACCCTATAGGTGATCAGTGTTGGAGACAGAGAGGAAAAGAGACAGAAGACAGAGAATAGAGATGGAAGGCAGCAGCAAGGGAGTGTCCCTAAGGATCAGAAGAAATAAAATGGAACGGTTTTCACAGCCTTTAAGTATTTGAGTGAAACTGAGCTGTAACAAACACATATTATAAAAATACATGACATAATTGCCTCCTTCCTGAACCATATCCTACACACACTGAAATTCATGCCCCTATAAGGCAGAGGATAGGTTAGCTATGAAACCTGGAACTGGAGTCAGCTCCAACATCCCAGCCAGACAACAGGTCATCTTCCCCACCCTACCCCAGGGTAGGCCTTCCCTGAAGCCAGCTTCCCATTCTACACAGAGATGGCCAGTCAGAAATAATAGGGTATATTCATTTGCTAGGGCTTCCATAACAAAAGACCACAATTTATTGTCTCACAGTTCTGGAGGCTACAAGTCTGAAATCGAGGCAGGGCCACCGTCCCTCTTAAGATGCCAGCAAAGGATTCATTCCTGCCCTCTCTCCTTGTTCTGCATATGGTCATATTCTGCCTGTCTCTTCACATCTTCTTCCTCTTTTTAGAAGGATGCAGTCTTATTGGAATAGGGCACATCCAAATAACCTCATCTTAACTCGATCATCTGCAAAGATCCTGTTTACAAATAAAGTCCCATTCCCAGGTACTGTGGATTAGGTCCCTTTGCAGGGAACACAATTCAACCATAACATATAGTGAATGCCTGGAAGAAATAACTTTTAAAAAGTCATATGGGCCAAAGAATTGAAAGTAGGCATCACAAAATTAAACATCAAAAAAGGAAACTTGAAAAGTTTAACCTAAACTGTGCAATTGTCAGAATCACAAGCCCCTGACACATTCTGCAATGTATCAGAAAATCCAGAAACCAATACTTTTGACTCTGTCTCTGAAAGTCCCTTCCTCTTCAACACCTTTCACTCATCCTGCTGGCAGGTGATATGTTCCACTGGTTTGTGCTGCAAAAAGTCTAAGAAGGAAGCTGCATGATGTATTGGTATGGGAGCATCTCTGTACCAGGCTTAGTCACGCCATTTTAATCCATTCTCAACTTTGCAAAATAAGAGTCATTCTATTCATTTTACCTGGGGTCTGCCAGAGGAAGCAACTTTCCCAGAGCAGCATCCCAGGGAGCCCAGGTGAGAAGCCCAGCTCTGTGTGCCAACTGTGCAAACTTCCAGGTCCTGGAGGGAAGGATCATGGACAGTCGGGTCTAGTCAGCTGGAACTTTGTGAGGACACAGCCTCAGCCTTTGTCTCAATCTGACTCTCTTGTTGTATCAGTTGCGGTTCTCCAGAGAAGCAGAACCAAGGGAATGCATATATACAGAAAAGTTTCATAAGGGACTAGCTCATGCAGTTATGGAGTGATATGGTTTGGCTGTGTCCTCACCCAAATCTCATCTTGAATTCCCATGTGTTGTACAAGGGACCTGGTGGGAGGTAATTGAATCGGGGGGTAGGTCTTTCCCGTGCTGTTCTTGTGATAGTGAGTAAGTCTAACAAGATCTAATGGTTTTAAAAAGGGGAGTTTCCCTGTACAAGCTCTCTTCTCTTGTCTGCTGCCATGTGAGATGTGCCTTTCACCTTCCACCATGTTTGTGAGGCATCCCCAGCCATGCGGAACTTTAAGTTCATTAAACCTCTTTCTTTTGTAAGTTGCCAGTCTCAAGTATGTCTTTATCAGCAGCATGAAAATAGATTAATACAGTAAATTGGTACCAGTAGAGTGGGGCACTACTGAAAAGATACTGGGAAATGTGGAAGCAACTTTGAAACTGGGTAACAGGCAGAGGTTGGAACCATGTGGAGGGCTCAGAAGAAGACAGGAAAATGTGGGAAAGTTTGGAACTCCCTAGAGACTTGTTGAATGGCTTTGACCAAAATGCTGATAATGATACAGAAAATGAAAACCAGGATGAGGTGGTCTCAGACAGAGATGAGGACTTGTTGGGAGCCGAAGTCAAGGTGACTCTTGTTATGTTTTAGCAAAGAGACTGGTGGCATTTTGCTCCCCTCCTAGAGATTTATGAAGCTTTGAACTTGAGAGAGATGATTTAGGGTATCTGGTGGAAGAGATTTCTAAGCAGCAAAACACTCAAGTCGTGTCTTGAGTGAATGTTAAAGGTATTCACTTTAAAAAGGGAAACAGAGCATAAACGTTTGGAAAATTTGCAGCCTGACAATGCAATAAAAAAGAAAATCTCATTTTCTGAGGAGAAATTCAAGCTGGCTGCAGAAATTTGCATAAGTAACAAGGAGCCGAATGTTAATCACCAAGACAATGGGGAAAATGTCTCCAGGGCATGTCAGAGACCTTTGCAGCAGCCCCTCCCATCACAGGCCTGGAGGTTTAGGAGGAAAAAATTATTTCATAGGCTGGGCCCAGGGTTCCTTGGCTGTGTGCAGTCTAGGGATTTGGTGCCCTGCATCCCAGCCGCTTCAGCTGTGACTAAAAGGGGCCAAGGTACAGATTGGGCTGTTGCTTCAGAGGATGGAAGCCCCAGGTCTTGGCAGCTTCCACGTGGTGTTGAGCCTATGGGTGCATAGAAGTCAAGAATTGAGGTTTGGGAACCTCCACCTAGATTTCAGAGGATGTATGGAAACGCCTGGATGCCCAGGCAGAACTTTGCTGCAAGGGTGGGGCTCTCATGGAGAACTTCTGCTAGGGCAGTGTAGAAGGGAAATGTGGGGTCAGAGCCCCCACACAGACTCCCTACTGAGGCACTGCCTAATGGAGCTGTGAGAAGAGGGCCACAATTCTCCAGACCCCAGAATGGTATATTCACTGAGAGCTTGCACCGTGCACCTAGAAAAGCCACAGACACTCAACACCAGCCCATGAAAGCAGCCGGGAGGGAGGCTGTACCCTGCAAAGCCACAGGGACAGAGCTGCCCAAGGCTGTGGGAGCCCACCTCTTGCATCAGCATGACCTGAATATGAGACATGGAGTCAAAGGAGATCATTTTGGACCCTTAAGATTTGACTGCTCCACTGGATTTCAGACTTGCATTGGGCCTGTAGCCCCTTTGTTTTGGCCAATTTCTCCCATTTGGAATAGCTGTATTTACCCAGTGTCTGTACCCCCATTGTATCTAGGAAGTAACTAACTTGCTTTTGATTTCACTGGCTCATAGGGGGAAGAGATTTGCCTCATCTCAGGTGAGACTTTGGACTATGGACTTCTGAGTTAATGCTGAAATGAGTTAAGACTTTGGGGGACTGTTGGGAAGGCATGATTGGTTTTGAAATGTGAGGACATGAGATTTTGGAGGGGCCAGGAGCAGAATGATATGGTTTGGTTGTATCCCTACCCAAATCTCATCTTCAATTCCCATGTGTCAGAGGGACCCTGTGAGAAGTAATTGAATCATGGGGGCAGGTTTTCCTGTGCTGTTCTTGTGATAGTGAATAAGTCTCACAAAATCTGATGGTTTTAAAAAGGGTAGTTTCCCTGCACAAGCTCTCTTCTCTTGTCTGCTGCCATGTGAAACATGCCTTTCCCTTCCCTCATGATTGTGAGGCCTCCCCAGCCATGCGGAACTGTAAGTCCATTAAATCTCTTTCTTTCGTAAATTGCCCAGTCTCAGGTATGTCTTCATCAGCAGCATGAAAACTGACTAATACATGAAGGCTGAGAAGTCCCATATCTGCCATCTGCAAGCTGGAGACCCAGAAAAGCCAATGGAATCACTCAGTCTGAGTACCAAGGCCTGAGAACCAGGTGAGCTGATGATGGAAATCCCAGTTCAAGCGCAGGAGCAGATGAGATGTCCCAGCTCAGCAATGAGGCAGAAAAAATGGAGGGAGAATTCCTCTTTTTTCCACATTTTGTTCTCCTTGGGCCCTCAATGGATTAGATGATACCCAGCAATATTGAGGAGGGCAATTTACTGTCCTGAATCCGCAAATTCACATGCCAATCTCATTCAGAAACACCCTCACAGACACACTCAGAAAAAAAGGGTAACCTGGACACACCATGGGAATGGAATTGACACATACAGTTTACCATTAGACTTGTCTGGGGCTCACCCCAAGCTGCAGAATGAGAGGACCCTAATGAATTCAGGGAGTGGCAAAGTCAGAGCTCACAGGACCCTGATAAAGTGAAAAGAAAAGGGACTCTCTTCTCATTTCCTTGTTCTCATTAAACCTTTCTCTGCAGGGCTTTGTTTTGGAGGAGAAAAGCCTATGTGTTTTGTCAATTTAGACTTACCGATTAGTGACAGAGAAGAAACATGAGAAAGGACTCTGACTGGAAGGACAGCCCCATGGTCTTCCCTCTGCAGGACAGCCTGGTGTGGTGAAAGCAAAGGTTGAACCAAAGCACAGGTCCTGAGTTCTGCCATTCCCTGCTGGGGGCTGGCTGTCTCCAGCATCAGGCCTCTCTGCTCTGAGATTACAGTTTATAGTTATTCCTGCAGTGAGGAAGACTTTAATCTTGGTAGGAAAGTCATTTCAACAGCACGTAACAAAGAACAAGCATGTGAGAGACAGAGAAGACAGAGGATGTGAAGCATGACAATGGTGGCTGGAAGGGCAAGAAGCCCCAAGGCTCACCCGAGGGATAGAAGGTAATGGGCAGGGCCAGTGCAGTAACTCAGTGGCTGCATCCTTGGGGGAGAAGCAAAAGGCAAGGAAGAGAATATCTGCATGTCTTGAAGATGAACTAGAGATGCTTGGGATTGTTGGTTGAAGACCACCCCGAAACGTGTTTCCCACATGCTGTATAAGAAACACACAAAAAAGAGAATGGATGAGTGAGTGAGGAGTAAATGCTGGCAAGTTAGTGCGTTGCTTGACTTTAGACCATTTTAGTAAACGGAGTAGAATTGGCACGAATGGCTAGGGCCCAAGATGAGGTGTCTTACTGTCTGCAAAGGATATTTGCTATCTCTTGAGTGTGTGTTGGGGGTGGAGGCCTACAGAGCTTCTGCATCTCTTTCTGGGGTTTGAGGAATCCCTATTACACACACACACACACACACACACACACACACACACACACACACACACACACCAGGAACCCATCTCTCAGTGAGAAGCTGGACAAGCCCCTTGCAGCTTGGGATGTAAGCAGTAGGCTACATTTCCTTCTGCTGGGCATGTGCCACAGCCGCCCTGCAAGCCACTGTCTGAAGGGTGTCCCTCACTCTGCATAGACCGCAGAGCATGTCAACTCCAACTGTGGGGGAAACAGATGATGTAACTGAGCATTCTATGCCTCAAAATCCTATTTCCCTGTTGATATTAGTTATAAACTCCACCAGGACAAGGAATCCACTTGGCTGGCTACCCCTGCATCCAGATAGAAAAAGTGAAAGATAGAATATGCATGTGTGAGTGCAGAAGGAGAAAGAGAAGGGGAGGAGGGTGAGGAGAGGAGGGGGCCAGGCCCTGCTACCTGCAGATGAGCCCAGTTCCTCTCAGCTTCCCCCTCTGCATGAGCCAGCAGAATGCCTCCACACCCCCACCCCAGTCCCAGATTTTCCATAGCAGCTGAAGGAAGATTCATCAGCATGTCAGCACCAGATGTTTTCTGTTTTTTCTGTGGAAAGTAACCTGACCCCTTTCCCACCTGACGATCCCAGTCACAGCTGTCACAGTAACCAAGGACACAGCGCCTTTTTTTTGTTGTTTTTCTAAGAAAATACCAAGATGAAAATCAGGAAGAACAAGGGAAAGCCATCTCCTAGCTGTCGTGGATCTCTTAGAGCATAGGTGTGCCCTGTAACCTGGCAATGCACCCGGAAAACAAAGCGTGCGACCTCAAGGGTTATCACCTGCATTTTGCAGAAACCTAAGAGAAATCCACATCAGTTGCTTGGGAGAAAGTGTTTCCTCTTCATTACACAAGTTCTTCGTAGAAAATAATATATAATATTTCTTTATTTGGGTTTTCTTGGACAAATCCTCTATAGGGCAGCAGTTTCCCATGGCAGCTAGGCCAAGAGATTCCTGATCAGAGACTGCCATCTGCTGGATGAAGGGGATGGCCAGAGGCTTCTGTGCTTCGTTTTGTTTTGTTCTGAATTCTAAGAAACAAATTGCAGGGCAGATGGGGTCTGATTAATGCAGAAGGGAGTGCTTTTGGCATTGATTGACAAGGAAATTGGCTTTTCTGATGCAACCATAATGGATCAGCCATGGTTACGGCTTTCCCCTGTGTTAGCCCTCAGTAGGGTTATGTCTACCTCATTTGGCAGAAAGTTAAGGCTCAGCGAGGCTAAACCACAAATACAGAGTTACCCAAGTAATAAGCAATAGAACTGGGACTGGGACCTTGGACTATTAGATCCCAAAGATGCTTGATCATCCCAGAGTGAGTCAGAGGCAGTTAGAGGATGAGATTCTTAGGCAAGGAAGGAAGTGAGATGCTAGAAGGGTCGCAAGGAAGAAAAAGAGAGAAAGAAAGGGAAGAAGGTTGGTGGTGGGACCTAAGCTCCAAACACTCTCCGTCCTCACCAGGATGGCTCAGGATGAACCCAGAGCTCTCACATAGATGGACAGACTCACAATGGCCAGGAAGGAAAAAAAAGGATGAAGACCACAAGTAGGTATAACCATGCACTTGCAGAGAAGAGGGGGCATATTGGGCTGTGAGATTGTATAACCAGTGCATCAAGGGACACGGAATCAGTGGCACCATTTCCTGAGTCTGCAGTATAAAGGTTAGCTGGCTGCCCAAGGAGAAACACAGCAAGTCAAAGAGAGGTCAGAGGTTTCTCCCTGAGGTCTTTATACAGAGATCATGATGTAGCGTAGTCAAGGACAGCCTCACCGATGTCCTCATGGCGAGCAAAGTCATGCATTTTACAGGGCTCTGTCTTAGAATGTCCCTGCAATGTACATTACATTTTAGGAGCATTCAGGAAAAGTACTGCAATAAAAGAAAGCCATGTGGTCCCCAGAGCACTCTGATGATGTGGCTTAAGGCTGGGACCAAATGAACAGTATTGAACACTAGCAAATGCCTAGGTGCTTGTCTCCGTGAGTTTTCTTTGCGACGCATTTTGACAAGCGTGGGATAGCTCTGAGTTTGACATTTTATCTTCTGAGATGAAGCTGGAGAGAAGCCAGTCCAGGCATCCCGTGCTGCAGTGGCTTTTAGGGGAGCTGAGGACGGCAGTCTTCCTGTGTCCAGGCCCCCCAACCAACCTCCTCCACAGATGGGCAGAAGAATCTCAGTGAACTGCATTAAAATTGGTCTTTACCCCATGAAAGATTGGCAGTGGTGCAGGAAAAAGAACAAAGGGCCAAGCCTCAGTCTCCCCATCATCAAATTAGAAGAGTTAGCTAGATCCGTGATTTCAAACTTCCCTCAATCCAGCTCCCTGCTCAGCCCTGTCCCAGCCCGGCCCCAGAGTCCTTCCCTGAGTGCTGCAGCTGCAGCAGGACTGAGAATTCCCACCCTGAATGCTACAGCTGCTTCCCAAGTATGAAGCTGAACAAATGAATTTTCTCACCAACTTGCTCACATGTCTGACCTGACAGTGCACCTGTACCTCAGCTCCTCCTCTCTGCAGTCCGCCTAGGGCCCTCCCCACTACACTAAAGAGAGGCGTTACCTGTCCTAGGAATAGCACACTGTTCCCTGCTCTCCCCCCACCATGCCCCAGCAGCTTCCCAAGCTTGGCATTCCTACCAATTCATGTAAGCCAATCCCAAAGGACTCTATTTATAGTTTTCAAATATTGGCACATGAGCTGCTTCCAGCCTGCCAGGTACTTTCTGAGAAAGAACACAGTACAGCTCTCTCTTGCTCGCTCTGCCTCTCTCCCTCCTACCTCTCTCCTTCTGTGTGTGTCTCTCTCTCTCCCCAAATGCTGCTTTTAAGCCTATCAGCCCCTTCACCAGGGACTGTGAACACAAAGACCAATGCAAAAAACATCTTCAACTGAAGCCATTCCAAATTGGAAACAAGCCACCATCCATGGAGAGTTTGGGATGGTTTGGAAAAAAGTATTTTGCTATTGCCAAAGTTCTAATTCAGCATCCTTTGAAATCTTACATTCAAGAAGTAGTCCTTATATAACACAAATTTGGTGAGAACATTCCAATGCTCATCATTCAGGTGTCAGGAAAAGATCCAAATAATAAAAAACTTAAATGAGTCCTTATTTTTTTTTCCACTGGGGCACATATGGCATTCACATGTAAGAAACACTCATAAATGTGTGCCCAGTATTACCCACGACTCACTGGAACCCCAGGCCAGGGGTGGGGACCACAGACACTGAGTGATGGTACAGGAAGAGGAAAGGGGTAGGCCTCCTCCACTGGGCAATGGTTTACTTCTGTGACAACAGGGTCTCCATAGCACAGCATGGTGCCCAGCATGATGATGGGCATCGTTCCTGCACCCTGGGGTCCCCAGAGCTGTTTGGGGTCCCACTGATGGGATGCAAGTAGAGATACCGGACAAGAGCTGGAGTGAGCTGAGGCTGCTAATGTTGCCCCATGGCAGGCATCAAAAGTTTCTTCCTGCCCAGGCTGGGTTGGAGCAAGGAAGACCCTAAGCCTCCCCAGCATCTACCGTATTGTTAGATCTGGAAGTGGGAGCCCTCAGAGAGTATAACTTTGAACCCTATCACAAAATGCTGATATAAGACACAAACAGAGAGCATTCCCCTCTCTGTGCCTTGGCCCACACCTGGGATTGGTGGAGCCTCACATCTCTATGACCTTTAACCTTCACCATCACTGCAGTTGCCTGACTTCTCTTGTTGCCAGAACACACAGAGCTCATAACCAGGGAGCATTTGCAGGTATTTCTGCCTCTGTCTGGAATGCTCTGTCTCCTCTCCTTTTCACTCTGCCACCTGGCTCTCCCTGTTGGAAGGGCCACTATCTGAAACTGCCTTATGTCTTCATATGTTTCACGTGTGCAGCTGTCTCCCCTAGTAGAATGTAAGCTTCAGGGGACAAGGCACTGTTTTATTTATCACCATACCTCCTGCATTTAGCATGTTAATTAGTCATAGTATTTGTTCAATTAGACATGGCAAATTGATACTAGCTACTCTTTATTGAGTACCTATAATGTTGTCAGAGAGTTCACATGCCTTCTGGGAAGTTCCCAGAACAATTCCATGAGACACAAACCTCACACCCAGCTTCAGTCAAGCTGGAATACTATCATTAATATATGCAAATTCAGTAAAGGCAGCTTTATATGAAAGTAAGGTACCATTCCCTGAGCCTTCTAATGGGCCATCTGACCAGGGGAGCAGTGGGAGTAGAGAGAAGTGGGTGAGTCCCAGGGTCAGATGTGGAGGGTGAAGCATGTTCACATGTCTGTGCTCCTAGGAATGTACCCCTGCATCTGGGGTGATGCTTCAGCCTCACCCACAGTGCCCTACACACCTGTCATGCACCATTTACTGGAATGGGTTGTTAGGAGAACGTTCTGCACATTTACAGGGTTTAACCTTCATCCTGGAGAAAAATCACAGCCCTCAAGCTTCAAAGATTCTCATAGAAAATTTCTGGAAAATAGAGATCTCTAGAATTACAAGTCAGAATTGATGTGATTCTTCTGAGACTGAACTTGGAACCAATACAAATGAGAAAAAAGCAGAAAGAATGTGCGCCAGACCCACGTCTGCCCCACCCCCCGCCACTGCAGCCTTCTACTCCTCCCCACCCCGTCCTACAGAATCCAGTTCTGACCACCGCTGTCACTCAGCGTCTCTCCAGTTATCCCCAAGGGGCTCGTCAGTACCAGAGAAATGTAAACTAGAACCACGATCCAGTGCCCCTTTGAACCATCAAACTGGCAAAATATAAAAAATAAGAAACCAAGCATTGGTGAGGATGTGGAGCAGTGGAAACCCCCCTACACTTCCAACTGGAAGGTAACGTGGCCCAACCACCTGGAAAATCAATTTGACAAAATTTAACAGAACAGAGCATATACAGACTCTACAACACAGTCATTCCACCCAAAAGAGACAAGTGCCCATGTGCTTGGGAGACGGCCAGCTGTGCAGAATGGCTCTCTGCCCACTGGAAACCAAGGAGGGAAGGCAACAGCCAGCACTCCCTCGGGAGTACAATTAATAAACAGGTTGTGGTATCTTCTTCGCACATGAAATATCATAGAGCAATACCAGTAAATGAACTCACCACATCTGCAGGCTTAAGAAAAATCATAAGACCAAACCAGAGAAATTAATAAACTACAGTTACATCAACAAGTTACAATGTTTCAAACACATACTATTGCCTGAATAAAAAGTCAGTTTCAGAATGGTGGACACATTGTAATTCCATGTACATAAATTTCACAGTAGGCTCCACTAAGCAACTAAGCAATGCATTGTTTTGAAGAGTGGATGTCTGAGATTAGACTATAAAGCAAAGGAATGTGATTAACATGAAATCCCAAGCAGGGGTCCTCTGGGGTGGGAGAGGAGGAGGCATCTAGAACACCTGGGGAAAGGTGTGCAGAGATATTTAAGGGTATTGTGTGGGGAATTCTATAGGAATTATTTGCGTTAATTATTATTATTAATATTCTTTAAAATGTACAATATGTTTATATAGTCTTTACTCTTTAGAAGACATTTCACAATTTAGGGAATTAAAAATACAAAAGTAATGAGTCCTTCATGTTACGACATTCCTGACATAAGCATAACACACTATAAGTAGATCCGTAAGACTCAATGACTAATTTTCCCCTTCTAAAAGAAGGAAATTAAGAATAAAGACTAAAGGACAGGGATGGAAATTATACCTGCATACAGATCTCTAATCCCAATCTTGCTCTGTTACACAGAGATTATTTTACCTTTTAGCCCCATTTGCCATTTTTACTTAGTACTTGTGTTGCTCTATTCGAGTTCATATTCTTGGCACTCAGAATGTTTTCTGGCATGAAAGTTGGAGAAACTTGGGTAACCTTTCAGAGAGTCTCCTGAGCTCGACATATCAAACTTAACTGCCAGGATATTTTTAAATTATCTGCTGTGATTCATGGAAGTCAGCTCCTATGGCCGGCCACTGAGCATTTTGTTGACAATGATTTGCTCCTCTGGGCCAGGCTCTGGGAGGACACTTGTTTCAGGAAAGGAAGGAAGCCCAAGACACAAAGCCTACAGATTAAAAGCCAGTGGCCTGGGCCTGGATGAGAGGAGCTCTGGGGTCTGGGGGATCCAAGAGGCAAGGCCACAGGCTCCTGGAGGAGGGTAACGGCTCCCGGAGTGGACTCCACTGAAAGTGGGCTTTGGAAGGTCCTGGGCTATTACTGGTGGAAGGACATTCCATCAAGACACACAAGAGAATCCCATCAAGACACACTTACCTCAACTTTTAAAAAATGCACATTTTATTCCTCTTCTGTTGCATTATGAGGCACACATAAAATTCCTCTTTTTTATGGACAGAACTGCCCATCTCAGGGCCTGCAGGATGACATTCAGAAGCCGGTGCTCTGCTGGAACCCACTGTTCCTTGCTCTCTGTCACCATCAGCTCCTCACTCCGAGTCTGATTCTCCTCATGACTCCGGGTTTCAGGAGGCCACGGATCAACTTCTGCCATCAGCCCCTTCCCTTCTCAGGGCCTTGCCTGACAGCTTCCTTGTCAGCCTGTGTGCACTGGGCATCTACTGTATGGTTCATTTCTGGAAGGTGCCCCTGAAGCACAGACATCACTCGTAGAACGACTAGGCTCTCTGAGAGCTTGTCATGGACACAGAACTCTCAAAGAATTTTGAGGGGGAGATGAGTAAGGTATTTCATCAGAGGCAATGTCTGAACATGGAGGTGACAATGTGCAGAATCCCGTTTACCTTCCTCCTTCTTTTCTGCAACGTCTTCAGCCTGCTGCATCCCACAGGAGTCATCCACAGAGATGCGCTACTCAGACCCATGAAGAGAAGGACTTGTGGCCCAGCTAGCTGCAGGACCATGGCCGCCTGGCAGCCTCCTCTGCTGATCTTCTCAACTTCCCCTCTGTATTCAAGCACACGCTTCCTGAGCAGCCACTGGCCCAGGACTGAGATAGTCAGGGGCCCATGGCCTGACCCTCCCCACCCTCAGAGGCAGCTGAGATGGGCTAGCAGACGGGCTGGCAGTGAGGTCCGAAGAGCTGCCTGGTGGCTCTTTTTGCCCAGTTTCACTTCCTCCTCTCCTCCAGGCACTGAGGTTCCTCCCCAGTATGCCTTCTGTACACCTAGCTCTCTGTCTGTGTCTACTTTCAGGAGGACACCACCCACGATACTTCAGTTCCACTTAACCCCTAAACCCATCAAATATTGCTTCAAAATAGGATCCCATTGATTCATTATTCCAGAGATGTAAATGTGTGCATACCACATTCTTGATGTATTTTAACACACGAAACAGCTCCAAGCCAAAAGAATAAAAATCCAACTGTGAACCTTCAAGCATCACAATATCTATGTGCATTTCTTGCCTTATTGCTGTCAAGCCCCCTGACTTTCCATTGCTCCAGCCCCAGGGAATCTCTTCCTGTCTCCACAAACCATCTCGAGAAATGTCTGAACTTTTAGCCAGGCACTCTCTTCTCTTCCACAGCTTTCCTATCCAGCAAACCTCACGAACTCTTGTAAAAATCACCTCCAAATCACTGAAAGTGTGAGTTGCCTCTTCTCTATAAACCTTAGGATTTCTTCCACATCTACCATAGGCTGTCTCTCTCTCTCTCTGTTCTCCTTGGCCAATTACATCTCTACTTGTTCCATTACAGCCAGAGCCCATCCTAAAGATTGACATTATACCCCATTCACCTTTGCATCCCCAGTATCTAGCACATAGAGGGTGTTAACAGTGAGGTTTTGTTGAGTGAATGAATGAATAAATGAACAAGTGAATAAACAAATGATACAGCCGGGCACGGTGGCTCACGCCTGTAATCCCAGCACTTTGGGAGGCTGAGGCTGGTGGATCACCTGAGGTCGGAGGTTCGAGTCCAGCCTGACCAACATGGAGAAACCCCATCTCTGCTAGAAATACAAAATTAGCCAGGCGTGGTGGCGCATGCCTGTAATCCCAGCTACGCGGGAGGCTGAGGCAGGAGAATCACTTGAACCTGGAAGGAGGCAGAGGTTGTGGTGAGCTGAGATCACACCATTGCACTCCAGGCCAGGCAACAAGAGCAAAACTCTGTCTCAAAAAAAAAAAAGAAAAAAGGCTGGGCTCAGTGGCTCTCGCCTGTAATCCCAGAACTTTGGGAGGCCAAGGCGGGCAGATCGCGAGGTCAGGAGATCAAGACCATCCTGGCTAACACGGTGAAACCCCATCTCTACTAAAAAATAGAAAAAATTAGCCAGGCGTAGTGGCGGGCACCTGTAGTCCCAGCTACTCAGGAGGCTGAGGCAGGAGAATGGCGTGAACCCGGGAGGCGGAGCTTGCAGCGAGCCGAGATCGTGCCACTGCACTCCAGCCTGGGCGACAGGGCGAGACTCAGTATCAAAAAAAAAAAAAAAGTGATTTGGCATGGTAACTCTCCCAACATCCCTTAAGCTATATAAACCATTAGCTACTCTTCCCATACACTATGTCCACCCCGGGTTTGAAAAACAAACCAGATAATGTGGAAGAAGAACTCCTAGATGAGAAATCAGAAGACACAATTTATGGTTCAACCACCTATACAAAGTGTTTGACTTTGAGTGAACGAGTTTCCCTCTCTGGCCTTAGAGCCCCCGTTTTCTTATCAAATTATGTGTCTACCACATGCCAGGGGCCCTTCCTGCAATATCCCCTGAGACTCTGCAAAGTCTTTCTGCCATTTCGGTTGCATTTGCTTTCTTTTTCAATCTGCATCCCATATCCCTCCCCCAGCAGGCAGAGTGTCAGCAGGTACAGCATTCCAGGTGGATGGGTTTAACTCTTGGGAAAGCATCTGCCATTTGTTTATTTGTTTCTCTACTGACTCCAGAAAAGAAATAATAAAACGCTCATAAAGGAATTGGCAGAACTAGCAGAAAATTTAAGCCAAAACATGTGTGAGTGTATTGTAAAGTCCAATACTTTAAAATCCCTAAACGCTTCTTTTCCAGAAGCAAGAAGAGCTGCTTAGTCTAAGACTGGGGTATAATCTATAAGAGCTACATTGTCCAATAAAAATCTCCATAGCTTAGAGTTAGAGATAGGGATGGAGCTAGAAGAAAAGGCAGCAACAGAGATAGAGATAATAGAGGCAGAAAGAGAGAGAAAGACAGATAGAGTTGGGCAGGAAGCACAGGAGGTCGGCAAGGCAAAGGGATCATGTTATAAAATGAAAATCTGAACAAATTCTTCTGTTCACTCAATCAAATTTCACTCTTGATTTGAAGCAGAAATGCACATCAAAAAGGTGAGATCCTCCACAGAGAGAGAGGTTGCCACTCGGGTGAACTGTACAGCTCTCCACTCTCCCTCCCCTTCCTCCCAGGAACTGGCCAGATGAGACCAGATGGTCCCACCAGATGTGGTTTTGTGCCTGTGCACTCATCATTATGAATTCCACCCCAGCCCAGTGATTGGGTTTGAATGGTTGACTAGGATCTAAGCTCATTTTTAAACCCCAGGACTTCTGTTCTCCCCTCCCTCCCTGTGTGTATTCCAGCACCTCCACCCCATCTCTGAATCCCTTAGGGGGACTTGCCTGGTGATGGGCACACCCCATGGTCTGGGCCACTGGCCCCTGGGCTGCTGGCTGTCAGAATGGTGCAGCCATCACTCATAGGGAGGACTCACCACTTTCTATTGGGCACTGGTCCAAGTTTTGCTCTCAGCAGTAGGGTTGTTTCCTAAATGTTAACATTGTGGGTCTAAATTATATCTTCTATGTTACATCCTGCACCCAGAAGCAGCATAAAAGTCTTTCACAACATGTATCTTACTCTGCAGTTCAGAGAGTATCATACGCACCATAGATGTGAGGAAGCAGAAATTTATTTATTTGTTTATTTATTTATTTATTATTTTTCAGACGGAGTTTCACTCTTATTGCCCAGGCTAGAGTGCGGTATGTTCTCAGCTCATTTCTACCTCTGCCTCCTGGCCTCAAGCAATTCTCCTGCCTCAGTCTCCCAAGTAGCTGAGATTATAGGCACCTGCCACCACACCCGGCTAATTTTTTGTATTTTTTAGTACAGACAGGGTTTCACCATGTTGGCCAGGCTGGTCTTGAGCTCCTGACCTCAGGCAATCCACCCTCCTTGGTCCCCCAAAGTGCTGAGATTACAGGTGTGAGCCACCGCACCCAGCCTAGGAAGCAGAAATATAGTACTACTAAATTAAACTTGGTCTTTAAATAATCATTACTTTAATACTACTGCTATTAAATTTGGCAAACAGGTTTCATATCAACTTCACACAAAATCTTTTCTGGAATTTGGTGCATTGTGTATTGCTCGAGTCTGGGCTCGACAGTCAACAGATAAATCCTAGCCTCATGTGCTGTGAAACCTTGACCAAAAAAAAGCTCACTAGGGTTGTTAATGGTGTTTATGTTATCCTATGACTATCATCTTACCATTATTCTACAAAGTTAAACTAGACTGTGACATCTTTGCATAGAATTCATGAGCAGGCTTCCAGAAGATTCTCCTACTTATAGATTTGTGTTTCCTCAATTTTTGCAGGAGTCATTGAAGCAAATTTAGTGACTAACCAGGTTTGAAACAGACACTCACCCATTGCCCCCAATCCCCTCCAGCCTCTTGGCTTGGCTTCTCAGTGTGGTAGGCACTGGCAGCTGCCTCAGGGGGTTTTGGCTTGGAGCACAACCTCAACCCAGGGGAACACATATGTGACTGGACCCTGGGTCACTCACACTCTCCCCAAAATAACTGGAAATGTAGCATTACATTAGCCACAAAAGCCATGGGCTGAAGGGATTAGCTATTACCCTAACAAGTGCAAGCCACCAGTCCCAGTACAGCAGAGCCTCCCCAAACCTCTTCCCGCCTAGAAGTGGGGCAGGGGGAGTGGAACGAAAAAGAAAACACCTAGGGTTTTTGTGGACAGAGACAACTGGCCCACCCCCCAGCATGACACTCCAAGTGCTCTCTCAGCTCTGCTGGGCAGGTGTGCTCAAATGTTCCTTTATCATACACTGGGTCCCACTAATCCCATTATGGAGCCTCTCTTTCCCCACCCCCATGCTGCTCTCCGGGCTGCCAGGTTCCAGGTGGGGTTGGCTTTCCATTGTCAGACACTTAAGACCCTCTCCTTTCCTCCCTGCCTCCTCTTCTTATCTCATGTGACCCTGATCACACTGTTCCTCTATGCAGCCAACTCCCCCACCACTCCCGCAGCCATCTGCCATCCGCATCAGCAGCTTTGTCTGTTGCCAGAGTGGAGATCTGGCTGTGTGAGCTGTCACTGTTAGGTGGCACAGCAAATGTGAGCTGCATGCTGGTCAAGGGGACATTTCACAGGGGGAAGCAACCCGTTAAAAGCCTCCTGGGGACTGGATGGAGATAGTGTCTCTGCCCCAAAGCAGTGGCCAGCTATGACCCAGTGACCTCTATTCTGCAGCTTATCATAGCCAACAGAGGGCTGGACAGAGAGCCCAGTGCACCAAGGTCTGTAACAGGCACCATGGCACTGAGCAAAGCCCTTGTCCTTGTCCTTTTCCACATAAAGAGAGGCTGGCCCAGAAGGTCAGTGTGGGGAGCAGTTCTCTCTCTTGGGCTGACTCAGATAGTTGGATGTTTGCTCCCTTGAGTGCTCTACTGCTAAGAATTCTGAGGCCAGGTGAGTGCATTAAATCCCAAAGGTGCTCAGCCCTCGGAGGCACTGCCTGGACTCCATCCTCAAGCCAGGGAGGTTGGTGCAGCGGAAGGTCAGAGACAAGAAGTTACTTGGTCCTTTTCTCCTCAACCAGCATGCTGCCCTCTCTCACGTGGGAAAACTGCAGAGAATTTGATTTCTTATTCCAAAAAGCAACATAGTAGAGTAGAAAAAAAAACTTATTTAACCAAACCTTCAGAGTCAGTGGATTGGGTTTAAGTTTATACTCTAAGACTTTGCAGCCATGTATTTCTGGAAAAGGCTATGACCTAATTTCTGCATCAGTGAAAGAGGGGTGATGGCTCCTGTTTTAGAGTTGGTGACAGGACTAAATGACACAACATATGTCAAATCCATAACAAGTGGCCAGGGACCTGGATCAACAATTTTAAGTTACTGATATGATTAAAAGCTCACACCGTGAGTGCATGCAATGCCACTGAATTTGTTCATGTTAAAATATCCGACTGTATGTAATGTGAATTCAACTCCATATATTTTTTAAATATAAAAGAGCCCCAAATCTAGACAATGCTGTTATTTTTCCTTCTTCAATACATGGAGCACTGGGTGCACAGGGAATGTTAGCCAGCGAGGCCGGTGGGGAGGAAAAGATATCAATGGAGAGAGGGTACAGGGTCTAGGAGAACAAACAGGCCAGAAGTCAACCCCACCTCCAGGAGCCTCCAGCCAGCCTCACATAAATCCACTGATGTGCAGAGCTTAGGTTGGACTGAACTCTGAGCACCTGCTGTGTGCCTCACCCCCACAGTCAACAATATCAGGACTTTACAACTACCAGGTGGGGCAGCATGCCAGACAACCAGGAAGAAGTCACCATGATGGTGTCCCATGGCCGGCACCTCCAAAGGCCATTCCGGAGATGTCCTCAGCCAGTAGATCCTCTGACAGCTCGGAGTGGCCCATTAGCCACGAGGCTCCCTCCACATGGTGGCCAAACCAGGCACGCTTCCTCCCCAGAAGGGTGGCGGGAGAACAGAGGAACTGAAACGCAGGCAGTCCCCTTTGCCACCGTGTCCCTCTGCCTGGTGAGGGTGGGGCAGGGCTGCAAGTCTGAGAAGCCGGCTGAGCCTCTGGTCACCTGCTGGGGCATTGCTGGGCCTTCTGCAAGTGTTGTGCGATTATTCCAGCTTGCCCTGAGCTGTTCTGTGGGAAACGAAGGGAAGGGCCATGTTTCCATGTCCAGCTGAGAGCCTTAAAGTAGTTGCAAACATGCAGATATCTGTAATGGCTCCCAGTGGGCTCCTGAGAGAGGCTGAAGTCAGGAGCCCAGGGTCCACAGATCCAGGCCCACTCTCTCCCATGGAGAGTCTCCCATCCTGCCTCACTGTACCTTGGGAGGAAGAGCACAGAGGCACTTCCTTCTGATGGCTGTCAGGATGGAGGTCGTTAGAAGGACCTCCTGCTGGTGGTCCTCTTACCCACCCCTTGCTGACCAGTCCTGGATCTGCAATCTTGATCTCTTCATTTATTTTCTATTTACTACAATATCTGACCCCTCAGACCCCAGACCTGGTACACAGTGCTGTCCCAATAGTAGCCGTAATGAGTCTGCTTCCAGCAGTGTGAAGAAACCCCTGGTCTGATCCACCCAGGACAGGTGAGTAGGCTCCAGTCTCCCTAACCCTGGGTCCAGGCTCTTCATAGTGGGACCTAGGAAAGGGCCCCAGTGAGGAAGGTCGTGCTTATCAAAGAGCCTGGGCCAGTTACAGGAACTTCTAGGGCATATTGCTAGAGGACTGGACACCAAGCCCTGTGCCTGGATCGTGTGAGGCTGCCCCAGGCAAGCACAGAGGGGAGGGAAGGGTACATAGAAGATAAGTAGTAGGGATTCTGAGGATAGATCAGAAAGAAAAGAAGCAGGATGACTTGTGATCACAGATATTGACTGCTGCTGCTCACCTTGCTTCCCCCAGCACTTCTCCCGGGTTTAAACTCTGGGAGGAGGAGCTCGTATGCTGAGGTCTGACACTGTGTTGGATGTCTCAGCCCCACTCCCCACTCCAGACCACGCCCTGCATGCCACCTGTCAACGAAGAATGCACAGAAGCCATGTGACAGGCAGAGAGTACCAGCACTCCACAGCCTTTCCCAGGTTAACAGGTAAGGCATATAACCTAAAATTTGCAGAGAAAATAGGACAGATGCAACATTTCTGATACACAGCCAGTTTTTCAATTATAACTCTAAAGCTGTGCTTTCAGTGAGTAAGAAAACACCAGTACTTAATTATAATGGCCTTAAAGCAGGAAATGGACATTCTAGTACCAAAGAACCTAAGATACAGCAGATACATGTGGAAAAGAAGCCTCTGGTCTGCAATACTGCTTTCTCCAGCCCAGTGGTCACAGGCCGTTTTCAGGTCCTTCGTGATGGCTCGATCCTGGGACCTGTGACCACATTCTTGCCTTCAGTGTAGTGTGAATTAAGACTTCCCAATACATCTCATTATAAATAAAGACAGTTTTATTTCTTAGAAGTGTACTTTAGAGAATGCTACTTGAGCCAGACTCCATCTTTCTGGGTCTGCTCCATGTTACAAGAGCACTTACTACTCTGTATTGCAATCGCTTGTTATCAAGAGTCTTTTCCTCACTTATAAAGGTAAGCACCATTCTATAATTCATCATTGAGTTCCTAGTGGTCAAAAAAGTGCTTAACTTTGAACAAGCCAGATGGGCACTACCTAGCATGCACCCCACCACACCCTTCCCTGCCCTGCTCCTTGGCACCTAAGGAGACACCACCCATCCCTCACAGAACTCCCAACCACTGAGTCTGGTTGGGACTTATGTCTTTCTCTGTACAGGGATCCAGGCAGTAACTCCCATGAGATTAGACAAATGTGTCACCCCCATGTCAGGCTCCCATCCTCACCCAAATGGTTCTGTTGAAAAAAATGCATTAAACAAAGTCTATCCTAATGGAGCTAAACTTGTTTTTGAATGACCAAGATGAAGAGATAGAAGCTATTTTAACTGGAATTGAAGTTTTCTTAATGGAAAAGTAAATGGCCACAAACAGGGGTGTGATAAGGTAGTAACTGGAGCCATAAGAAAGGATAGGAGTTAAAACACAAAAAGTACCAAAATAGGGGGAAATGTTTAGAAAATGAAAGACCAAAGGAGATTCAGAAAGTGTTATGGGTTTAATCATGTCTCCTAAAAGATATTGAAGTCCTAACCCCCCACTACCTCAGAATGGGGCCTTATTTGGAAATAGGGATTTTGCAGATGATCAAGTTAAAATGAGGTCATTAGGGTGAGGCCCTAACTGGATAGGCCTGGTGTCCTTATAAAAAGGGAACATTTACACACAGAGTCACACACAGGGGAAGATAATGTGAAGCATGGCGGTAAGGTGGTTCTCTGCAAGCCAAGAAGCCCCCGGGGCTACCAGAAGCTGGAAGAGCAAGGATGGATCCTTCCCCTGCAGATTTCAAAGGGAGCTTGGCCCTGTTGAGACCTTGATCTCAGACTTCAGTCTCCAGAACTGTGAGACAATAAATTTCTGTTGTCCCAAACCAACCGGTTTGGCAGTACTTTGTTCCTGCAGTCTTGGGAGATGAATACAGATGGTGGAGCACAAGCCAGAGGCTGCAGACTCAGAGGGCAGCAGCTAGGAGGTACTTGGCCAAGACCCTCATTCTCAGCACTGGCGTGACAGAGGAGGGATGGATGGTCACTATAGGGCCATGCAGGAGCTGAACGGGCAGTCACAGCTTAGGCAGCGTCAGCCAACAGCTGCTATTCGGGAAGGAGCCTAACAATGTGTATTTCTATATGATATATGATTTTTGTTAAAATGTGGTAATACATTCAAAAATTGCAAATCACAGAACAACATGGTTGAAGCCAAAAAGGAACTTATCTGTGGGTTTGGAGCAGTTTATGGGTTGGACTTATCTTATGGGTGAAAATACTTTCCATTTGGTTAGACCACTGCATTCAGGTTTCTTTTATATGCAGCCAAACCTAACCCTAACTGATGCTATCTGTTGGTCTCAATGTGGCTTAAAAAGAGAATTAGACACCATTATCCTATTGGCTGGCTCTGATGTGGGAAAAACTCATGGTTTTGAAACAGAAAGATGTGGCCTTCGTCATCTGACACATGGAAAAAATTACATTTCCGTGAAGGTGGACAAAATAAGACGGAAATCTAAAACTTATTGGCACAGCGTGTAGGGTGTGTACGAGGGTTTGCTAGTCTCTCAGGATATATCAGTGTCCTTCCCCACACGTGCATTTCTTAAATCAAAATGATACTTTTCTTTCCACGGATTTAAAACATTATAGGTAGGGTGGTAAAGTGCTGTGCGGAACAGAGGTGAACTCACAGACCTTACGAAGTCACAAAATTGACTCTCAAGGCATGTTACATTCAGAGTGGCTGAGCAGCCTAGAAGACTGCACATTCCGGCTAAACCAGAGGGGCTATATCCCATTCCTATAAGCGTTACTGTCCACAAAAGCTAACATTAAATTTGTAGTTTCTTTTTACTCATGTGCGTAGAAAAGTGGGAGCTGTGTTGGCAGGTAGGTTCTCAAGTGTTGGATGAACAGACACAGCATGTTCCTGTAATCTTCATTTTGACCACTAGGGAAGCCTGGAAGCTTCCTGGGAAGGATGGGTCCAAGCAGATGCTCCATTATGTCTGAAGGATTTCAGGCACTCGGCTGAGCAGCCACAACGGCAGTGGCCGTGCCTTCCAAAGGCCTGGGACCGGTTCTGGGTTGGCACAGGCCCAAGGATTCCCAGACCCCAGGCCCCTTGCTGTCAGTGATGTCCAGGGGTCCTGACAGAAGAGCCCACTGAATGTCAACTGTAGGAATTAATTCCATAGACATGATTCAATTATCATCAATCATCTGTTTATTGTGTTTCTTCATTTGTTAATCTTTTTAAGTCCTGATTTAAAAAAAAAAAAACTGGTATTGTTAATAAGAAGAAACTCAAAAAACGGGTCCCAGTTTGTTTATACTTATTGATCTACACTGTCCGTGGGCACACCAACCACCGAGAAACTCCAGAATAGGTGAATTCCTGTTAATATTTCAACATGCCTCATAGGAATTTTATCACAGGAATGGACCTCAGGGAGTGTAGTCCCATTTTTGCTAAGGTCAAGGTGCCAGAGAATACTTGATTTCAAATCTCAGTCTTAGTAAGGTACTCATGCTTCAAGACACAGTTGAAATGTACCCTTCCATGCAGTCTGCCATGCTTACTAACTTGTGTTCAGAGCACTCAATCCCCCATGCCCAGAATCTGTGATCACTGGGTGTGCTGGGCACCTTAAAATAAGCTTTCATGATCTTCAGTAATTTCACTAGCAGATGACAGCCAAAAGCCTATGAGAGTTCAATGAGGCCCCTGAAATAAGTCTAATTCAAAATCAAAAGCTTTCCTGGAAGTTCTGTAAGCTGCATCACTTCAGTTTCTACACAGGCACAAACAGACAAACAGGAGGGAGAGGCAGCCTGCAAAGCTTTCTTTGCTTATTATACCACATGTCACTCATGTTAGACTTTGAACAACTATTTATAATAGATTTTAAAACACACCTGTATTACAGGGCCAGTTACACCATACTGTAATTTATTTTGCATGTCTAAGCCCCCTTTCAAAGAATCAGTGAAACTGTAACGGGGAGAAACTATGTCTGAGGCACATGTTCCTCCCCAAGCTTCAATCACAGAACTTGGCATAAAATAGACCTTCACAGCATAAATGATCTACTGCAATGGATGGCTAAAAATAGAGGTGGGGAGGGAATACAAGCACAATTTTTAGGAAATTAATTTTCAAAAAGTCACTGGAGTAGAGGAAGTCATTTACAATGTGTCACTCCACGTGAAAGCCCCTTGCATCCCCTTCTCTCTGTTCTCATTTTTTGTCCCTGCTCTCATTCACGTCTTCTCTTCCCTCCTGTCTTGGGGAGTTCAGGATCCTCATGTTCTAGGCTAGTCCCACTCACCTCTGCAGTTGATATTATTTCCTCCTACATCCCTTCGACAGTTATTTGACAAATCTCTTGGTGAGACCTTCTACAAAAATTGAGTGAGCTGGGTGGTATAATGGACTAAATTGTGTTCCCCCAAAATTCCTATGGTGAAGCCCTAACCCCTAATATAACTATATTTGGAGATAAGGTCTTTATGGAGGTAAATAAGGTTAAATGAGGTCCTAAGAGTGGGTCCCTAACCTGCTAGGACTGGTGGCCTTATAAGAATAGGAAGAGAGAAAAAGAGTAGGGTACTCTCTCCACCACCCCTGTATGCACAGAGAAGAGGCCATGTCAGGACACAGCAAGAAGGCAGCCGTCTACAAGCCAGGAAGTGAGCCCTCACCAGAAACCAACGATGGCACCTTTATCTTGTCATCTGAACTCCAGAACTGTGAAAAGATAAATTTCTGTTGCTTAAGCCACCCAGCCTATGATACTATGTTATGGCAGCCCAAGCCAACTAGGACAGATGGGGAGTGTGGGAAGTAAGTAAAGTGTTTGGAATACCTCCAGTGGGGGTAAAGAAAGAAATTATATATCCACTGAAGAGAAGGATTTCTTTGCAGTTCTTGAGGGCCCTGTTGGCTAGGATCACACACATCCTTCTGATTTCTCCCAAGTCTGTGACCACTTCCTTCTAGTGTCCTTAGCTAGCAACTCTCCTTCTGCTGTAAAATGTTAGGCTTCCCCTGTGGCCTTCCTGTCTCCCTTTACATAGGCTACACATGCTCCCTTAGTTGCCTTGTCACCTCCCTAGCATCAGCCACCACCACGTGTTAATGACCAACCTCCTGTGTCTTCTGTACAGCCTTCCTTCCCCAACTCCCAAATAGCATTTCCAACTCCTTACTAAGAGTCCCCCAGGTATTGAAAATTCAACATATCTAAAAGAAAACACATCATCTCTATCCCCTTAGACTGATCGTCCACTCAGCCCTCAGCACTTCCATGCTGCTGCTTGACCAGACAAAAAGCACTAGATCAATCCCTGGGCATCCCTGCCTTTGTTTATCATGTTTCTTTAACATCTTTGGTCCAGCCCAATTTACTCTTCTGACTGGATGATTGTGATACAGTCATCCTTTCTAGTCATATTCTTGGCTTCAATTCATTCCTCACATGACAGCTGCAATGCTCTTCTGATTACACTGCCCCACTGCTTAGTGCAGTTTAAGAGCCCAGGTTAAAGTCCAAACTGCCTGCCAGACCCTTCAGATCTGTCCCTGATTCATCTGCAGCCTCATCCCTCACCATTCCCCAGTGCTCACCTCCCAGTGTGTAGCATAAACTCACTTTGCTCATGGCTTCTCACATTCTACGCTTCTGCCTAACTGGCCCCCACCTTGACCCACTTTATATCGAACCAACCCATGTTGTCTTTCAAGAATCTCCTCCTAGGAAGTTTCTTCTAATTCCCTAGATGCTTAAGTCATTTTAGCTGTCTAAGGCCAGCTCACTATCAGTAGGATAGAGATAGTGTTTGACCCTATAGAGAGAGTAGTGTGCTGGCATGTTGTGGCTTATGTAGATAAACCCACAACTAAGTGCTCCTCCTAATGCCTGGTACCCACGTGCTCAATAAACGCTCACTGCTGATGTTTTTATTTTCATTTTTATTGTTACAATCATCTACTTTGTTCAACTTGGGCTGCAATGACAGAATACCGTGGACTAAGCATCTAAAATAACAGACATTTATTTTCTCACAGTTCTGGAGGCTGAAAGTCTTGATCAGAATGTCTGCAGCATGGTTGGGTTCTGGTGAAGGCCTTCTTCCTGACTTGCAAATGGTCACCTTCTCTCTGTGTCCTCACATGGCAGGGGGAAGGCGGAGAGGGAGAGAAAGAGAAAGAGAGATGAAGACAAAAAGTGAGTGAACTCTGGTCTCTCTTGTCTCTTCTTACAAAGACACTTAATCCTATCATGGGCCCACCCATCACCTCATCTAAATTCAATCTCCCCCAAAGACCCCACTTCCAAATATCACCCCATTGGGGGTTAGAGCTTCAACATATGAATTCGAGGGGGAATATTTAGTCCATAACATCGTCATTATGTGCTGCCATTTAGAGTTTGTCATAGTGACTGTCTTAGTCTACCTGTGCTGCTGTAACAAAATACCTGAAACTGGGTAATTTATAAAGAACAGAAATGTATTTCTCACAGTTCTAGAGAAAGGGAAATCCAAAATCAACATGCCAGCAGGTTCAGCCTTCTGGCGAGGGTCGAGTCTCTACTTCCAAGAGGGCACATTGAATGCTGCATCCTCCAGAGTGGAGGGACGCTGTGTCCTCACATGGCAGAGACCTCAGAAGGGCAAAAAGAGATGAACCACTTCCATCAAGTTTTTTCATAAGGGCATCTAATCCTATCATGAGAACAGAGCCCTCATGACCCAGTCACCTCCCAAAGACCTCATTTCCCAATATGGTTGCAGTGGGGATTAAGTTTCAACATAAATTTTGGAGGGACATGAACATTCAAACAATAGCATTTTGCTCCTGGCCCCCAAAGTTCACTTCTTTCTTACATAAAAAGAAAATGCAGTCACTCCATTTCAACAGCCCCAGTAGCCCCCAAGTCTTAATTTATCTCAGAATTAATTTTAAATTTTAAATCCAGTCTCATGTAAACATCATGTGGGTGAGACTCAAGGAACTATTCATCCTAAGGCTAATTTCCTCCCAGCTGTGAACCTGTAAAATCAAATTAGATATGTATTTCCAAAATACAATAGTGGGACAGGCATCCATGTTGTTACATAGATAAAAAGTGTTTACCACAAGTATACCGCAATTTACTTATTCATTCTCCTAGTGATAGACATTTGGGCTGTTTCCGGATTGGGGCTATTATAAATAATGCATCTATAAACATTTTCATACAAAACTTTTACAAGAAATACTTACATTAGAACATTTTCATTTCAAAAGAGAGAAATAAGAAGAAAGAAATGACAAGTCCGAAACACAACAGAGCAAACATTAAATCTTAAGGCTAGAGAATAATTTTCTTTGAGTCCATGTATCACCTTCCAGACATACTGGGGCAGAGATTTGCCCTCAAGATTCCTGGCAGCCCCCACCCTCATGGCTCTGCTAGAGATTTTTGTTTTTGCTCATACCACAGTTCTCTCAGGTGGGAGTCCAGGTGCCTACAGCCCTCCCAGGCTGGTGCTGCACACTGGTGTTTCTATAGCCATGAGGTCTCTGGGGGTGGTCCTGTCCCCACAACTTCACTAAGCATTCCCATAGGGTGGGTTCTCTGTAACAGCCCCACCGCTGTGGCAGATATGCCTTGGCCTCAAGGCATTCTTGAAAATCTAGGTGGAGGTAGCTATGCCTCCACAGCTCTTGCATTCTGCTTGCCTGAAAAATTAGCACCACATAAACAACATTAAATCTCACTCCCTGTGTCTTCTGTAGCAGTGGCCCCAGCTGCATGTAGGTCCCCTCTAAGCCATAGCAGGGGTGGCCAAGGAGCATTACACCAGAATGTGGAGAACAGAGACTTGGGACAGCCTTGGGCCACAAACCCTGAGGTCCTATGGGTATCCTGGTTTCTCCCCAGAAACTGTTCTGCCCGCAAGGCCCTAGAACTCTGGGCCTGCAATGAGCATGGGAACCCCAAATATATCCGAAATGGCTTTGGGGTCATCATCCATTGTCTTGATGAATAGCATCTGGTCCCTTCTATCCATGTTAATTTCCTTATCAAATGTTCATTTGGCCATACCCTTGGTTTTCTCTTCTAAGCATACATATTTATTCTTTAAATAGACAAGCTTAGAATTTTCAAAATCTTTAGGTTCTGTTTTACTTTTAATTACAAATTCCATCTTTAAATCATTTCTCTCTTCTTTCGTTTTACTATAAGCAGTTAAGAGAAGCCATACAGTATCCTGAACACTTTGCTAGAAGAAATTTCTTCCACCAAATATCCTAGTTTATCGCTCTTAAGTTGTGCATTCTACAAAGTCCCAGGACAATGACAGAAGTCAGTCAAGTTCTTTGTAACAAGAATGGCCTTTCCTCCAGTTTCTCATACCTGTCTCTCACTTTCATCTGAGACCTCAGCAGAATAGTCTTCAATGTCCATGTTTCTATCAGCATTCTGGCCAAGCACTTAAGTAATCTCTAAGAAGAATGAGGTTTTCCTACAGCTCTCCTTTTCTTCCAAGCCTTCACCACCATCACTGTGAATGCACCACTCTTGGCAATCTGGGCTTTTTCCTGCATTCCCTTCAAACCTGTTCCAGTGCCAGCCATCATCCAGTCCCAAAGCCATTTCCACAGTTTTAGGTTTTTGTTGTAGCAACACCCCAATTCCCTGGTACCAATTTTTGTTTTAGTCAGTTCGTGCTGCTATAACAGAATACCTGAGAGTGGGGAATTTATAAAGAACAAAAATTTATTTCTCACAGTTCTAGAAGCTGGAGAGTCCAAGATCAAGGTGCCAGCAGGTTTCTTATCTGCTGAAGATCCAGTCATTGCTTCCAACAATTTTGGAGAGGACAAAAACATTTAAACCATAACAATGACCTATCAAATAATACTATGTAGCTAGCTAGCTACTTATCTACCTGAGGAGACTCTCCAGATGGTGAGGCAAGGTCAAAGGGAAGGATGGCTAGAGTGTTAATTACTAGGCAGTGGTGACTTGATGCAAACAAGATGGGACTGAAGCTTTGAGTTCCTATGGCATACTCACAATCACAATCTCCCCCTATTCAGAGACCATCTTTTAAAATTCATCTGTTTGGATCATTCCCCTCTCTCTTCTCAACCCTTTGGTTGGTTTGTTAGAAGCTGCACACATATCCTTTGTTAAGGAGGATGGCATACTTTCTTTGATGCACTGGACTATGAAGAGCAGGACTAGTTATTTCCGCACCTTTGGGAGGCATGATTTTTCTCTTTGCTGTCTTGAGTTTGCCTTTTTCTCAAAGTCATAGTGTTGATATCTAGAGTCCTAATGTTGCACGGGGCAGAGTGGATGCTCAGAAGGGCTGGTTTCAGCCATGGAGGCTGCAGACTTCACTGTTGCCTGACCTCAGAGGTGCCTACAGCTCCAGTGGTCCACAGAGTTAAAACCAGATGACTGTACAAAGATTTGGGGCCAAGGCCTATTGAGTAATGCCAGAGAATATGCATGCCTGAGCTTGTCCCCATGGCGAGCATCAGCTTTGGAAAGCTGAGTGGCAGTAGGTGGGAATTAAAAACACAAAGCCATCTCGAGCTTATGTTATGCCATGACATAAAAATTTGGATGACTTTGGCTTTGAGTGTTGTAAATCAGCAATATCAACAGCTCATCATCTGGCAGGGCTCGGGATGAGATTCCAGTGGTGGCTGCCACATACCTGGAGCTGGCTGTGACATCGACAGCACACTCACAGGCCAGCAGCCTGCTGCTGCCACATCGCCCAGCCCTGTCCATGTGCTTCAGCAAGGGCTCTCGGAGTCCTCCAAGCTCTGCTGCTCAGTGCCTTTAAGTGAGTTTTTCCATTTCCCTGCTTTTCACTCAGCCTATTTGGCTTCTGTTCCCATGGAACTGCTCTCTCTTTTCATCATATTCAATGAGCTCTTTTTGTTTTGGTGAGGGGACATATATTTCACATTTCATTCAGCCACATAAAAAGTGACTGAGGGTGTGCTGCACCCATCAACTCGTCATTTAACATTAGGTATAGCACCTACATGGCACATGTATACATATGTAACTAACCTGCACGTTGTGCACATGTACCTAAAACTTAAAGTATAATAAAAAAAATAGAAAATAAAGAAACACAATGACCTGGATGTGCAGGGGTGAGGAGAGTTCAGGTTCTAAATGGTGATTTAACAATTACATAATACGTTAGCATCTGAGAATAGGCATACAAGAAAAAAAATCACTGGGAACAAAGATCAGAGAAAAATGTTTAAACTAAAACATACCTTCTTCAATATAAGAAGTACCCCTTGTAGTTTGTTTTGGCTCACTTGAACTTAGCAGGACATTTTGTCCAAAATTCTACAAAAATAGAATATTGAATTAAAACATATCTCCATATTTAAAATTCATAATATGTTCATGAGCTTTTAAAAAACTTTTAATTGCTGTATATATTTTTAGCTATAATTGTTCATGTAACTTGCATATTACATTTTTTAGAGCTGAATTCAAGAATTATTATAATAAAGATTTCTATGGTAATGGAAAAAAAAGTGACTGAGGGAAAGCAAAACTGAAATATTACACTTACCTTGAAAACATTATTGAATTATTTTCCCTATGTAGTAAAATTATTTGTCTTGTGACTGACACTTTCTTAACTGTGCAGCAAGCAGCTCATCTGTGTGAGACCCCTGGCAAGCCCATAGCATTCAGGCCAGTGTCTGGGGACTGATGAGGACACAGGATTGTCTACCCGGAAGTGCACCTTGTCGTGCCCAGGCTGGCTCCAGGCCTGAATAGGTTACATCACGTAATAGAAGGGATGTCAATATATGGAGAAATGGAAAACAAGAGTTCTGAGATCATTACTTCCTGGGTCCCTGTGAAAATGCAGAATAAACACTTTATGGAGCACAGCGTAAAGCGAGGAACATCTCTATCCTACTTGGTGTTTCCATACACTAATTTATCAAGTCCTCATTTTGTCTGGCATTTGCTACAGGAATGAGATAATTTGTCTAGTTTCTTTCACTTAGTATTATTTTTAATATGGAACAAATATAACTTTATACATAATGATGAACAGGAAAAAAATCATTATTCTTTTACTCTCATTTTTCTCTTCCTATTCTCTCTCCCTCCCTTCCTCTTTCCCCTTCCCTCTCACTTTCTCCCTCTCTACTCCTTTTCCTCATTTTACTTTTTATGGAGGTTTAGCACAATGTACATAAAGCAAACTAATTTTAGTACAACTCAGTAAATTTCTACATATGTATATGATTGTGTATATATCCACAAGATGAAAATTTAGAATGGCACCCTAAAAAATTTCCACATGCCTCTTCCTAGTCAATAACCAATCCCTTCCTTTCTAAGGGTAAGTGTTATTGTGAAATGTATCATCATCAATTAGTTTTGTCTTTTGTGAATTTCATATCAATAGAATTGCACAGTCTGAACATTTTTCTGTTATTTTCTTTTTGCCACATGAAGACTACAAGAGTCATCCATGTTGTTACACAGATAAAAAGTGTTTACCACAAGTATACCACAATTTACCTTCTCCTAGTGATAGACATTTGGACTGTTTCCAGATTGGGGCTATTACAAATAATGCATCTATAAACATTTTCACACAAAACTTTTACAAGAAATACTAATTTTTCTTGGTTATATACATAGGCATGAAATTTCCAATCTCTTCTATGATAAAAAATTGAAAATGATACCAGCAGAAGCCATTTCACCTCTCTGGAGATATTGCAGAAATTAATGTCACTATAAAATACTTCAAAGAAACAAGGGCAGGGATACCTATCACACTGCCATTTAACTCACCAGTTAGACCTGTGCAGAAGGCTTATGGAATGACTATTGATTGTTATAAACTTAATCAGGTAGTGCTCCAATTGCAGCTACCCAGATGTATTGTAGCTGTCTGCTGTAACACGGTCTGCAGAGATCTTGATCATCTTGGCTTTCCACAAAACATCACACAGCTCTACCTCCAAGATGAAATGCAAGTCACTGCCCTATACCCTCTACCACAAAAAGAGGCACTTGCTTAGGAGGCCATTTTGGATTTGGAGTGGCCATACAAGTCGTGTTTGAATTTGATGCTTTGATTTTTCTACACACTTGTCCAAAAGACTGTTAGCTTTGAGCAGGACTAGAAAATGAGAAGCATGTGTCACTTGCTCAGCCTGCAGTACAAATTGTTCTTGTAAGTCTTGTGACTGAGCAGATCCAAAGATAATTTATGTATTTGTGGCTAAAAGCAACCAAAAGAACTATCAACCAGCTTCAGTTCAGTGCCATTTACAGCGGATTCTACATAACAATAGCAGAACATTTTTCCCAAATGTACATGGAACATTTACCAATATAGGCTACAGCCTGGGCCATAAAACAGGTCTCAGCACTTTTAAAAGGATTGAAATTATATAAAATATGTTCTTTGCCATAAAATTGAACTAGAAATGAATAAAAGAAAGAAATCTAGCATATTGGAAAATATTTGGTAATTCAGCAACAAACTTCTAAATAAGCAAGAAGCAATACAGTAAATGTAAAGACATTTGCAACTCAAAGATATTGGAAAGAAAAATATCGAAATATGGGATGTAGAACTAAAGAAGTGCTTAGAGAGAAATCTATAACATTAAATTACTGTATTCAAAAAGAAAAATGGTTTCAAATTAAGTAACTCAATAAAGAAGAGCAAATTGAATCCAAAACAAGCAGAAGGAAGGAAATAATAAAGAAAATGTCAGTAGCTAATGAAATGAAAAGTGGACATGCAATAGAGATAATCAGTGAAACCAAAATTTGTTCTTTGAAAAAAATTCATAAAGTTGATAAACCTCTTGCAAGACTTATTAGGAAAAAATAAAAACAGAAGATCCAAATTACCAGTATAAGGAATTAAAAAGTGAACATCACTACATATCCTACAGACATCAAAAAGATGATAAGGGAATATTATGAATGACTTTAGAACAATATATTTGACAAGTTAGATGAAATGGAAAATACCTTGAAAGACACAAACTACCAATGATCAACCTAGAAAAATAGATAAACTTAATAGTTCTACATCTTTAAAAGATATTAAAATATTAGTTTAAAGCCTTCCTACATAGAAAACTCCAGATCTACATCGCTTCATTGGTGAATTCTGCCAAATATTTAAGGAAGAAATAATACCAAATTAACCCAAATTCTTCCAGACAAGAGAAGAGTTGGAAACATTTTACTATTCATTTTTGAGGCCAGAATTATCCTGATAACAATACAGAGTATCTAATATCTTAATACCAGACCAAAGGCATTAGAAGATTTTTAAAAATGCAATCAAAATTCTTATAAGCCAAACCCAGGAATATATAAAAAGGATGAAACATCAAAACCAAATTGGGGTTGTCCCAGGAATATTATCTTGGTTTAAAATTTGAAAATCAATCACTGTAAACTGTACCCACAGACTTAAAAAAAGAACTATCATCATTTCAGTAAATGCAGTAAAAGCATTTGACAAAATTTAACACCCACACATGATAGAAACTCCAAGTAAACTAAAAATAAAAGGAAATTTCCTTAAATTTAGAAAATGGATGTACAAAAAAACTAGAGTTAACACCATACTAATAGACAACCGACTACTTCCCCTTAAGATAGGGAAGAAGACACAGATTTCTACTTTTACCTTGTATTCAACATTGCACAGAAGAACCTAGCCAGAACAACAAGTGAGAAAGTTACTAAGATCAGTCAAATAATACAAGGTCAATATACAAAAAACCATTGTATTTCTATATGCTAACAAAAACATTGGAAATGAAATTTATAAAACAATACAATTTACAGTAACATCAGAGAAATATTTACTCTTTAAAGATAAATGGAATAAAATATGTGCAGGATCAGTACACTGAGAGCTATAAAATATTGATGAAATTAAAGAAGTCCTGAATAAAGCAAGAGGCTGGACGTGGTGGCTCATGCCTGTAATCCCAGCACTTTGGGAGGCTGAGGCAGAAGGACCACTTAAGCCCAAGAGTTCAAGACCAGCCTGTGCAAAACCTATCTCTACAAAAAGGCAAAAACCTGTCTCTACAAAAAATACAAAAAATTAGCCAGGTGTGGTGGCACACACCTGTAGTACCTGCTACTGGGAGGCTGAGGTGGTAGGATCACCTGAGCCCAGGGAGCTCAAGGCTGCAGTGGGCCATGATCGTGCCACTGTACTCCAGCCTGGAAGACAAAGTGAGACCCTGTCTCGAGAAAATAAAACAAAATAAATCAAGAGACTGGAAGACTATGTGTTGTTAATGTGAATTCTTCCAAATTGATCTATAAATTTAATGTAATCCCAAGAAATGTCACAGTGTTTTAGGAATTACCAAGCTAATTCTACAACATATATGGATATACAAAAAACCTGAAATAGACAAAACAAATGTATTAAAAGAAGGACAAAGTTGGAAGACTCACACTCTCTGATTTTAAGACAGTATAAAAGTAGAAGAATCAAAAAAGTGTGACACCAGTATCAAGCTGGGTATAAAGATCAGTGGAGCCATGGCCACAAGGAAACACCTCAGCTTCCCCTGAGTTACAGGCTGGTGGTGGAGCAGAGTTCACCTGAAAGAAATTGTGGTGCTGCTAATAAGGGCAAAACATATACGCTTGCTGGACAGGCAAATAGCCGTGTTCAGGCCACATGGGATAGCAGGAAATGACGCCTTTTTTTTTTTTTTTTTTTTTTTTTTTTTGAGACGGTGTCTCGCTCTGTTGCCCAGGCTGGAGTGCAGTGGTACAATCTCAGCTCACGGCAAGCTCCACCTCCCGGGTTCACGCCATTATTCTGCCTCAGCATCCCAAGTAGCTGGGACTACAGGCGCCCGCCACCATGTCTGGCTAATTTTTTGTATTTTTAGTAGAGACAGGGTTTCACCGTGTTAGCCAGGATGATCTCGATTCCCTGACCTCGTGATCCACTGGCCTCAGCCTCCCAAAGTGCTGAGATTACAGGCGTGAGCCACCACCACAGCCAGCCTCTGAAATGACGACTTTTTTATGAAAAAAGATATTGTGGGAAGGAAGCAGTAAATGGTGGCTACAAGACAAAGCATAAGGCAGAGAGGGTGTGTTAGGCAGGGTTCTCCAGAGGAAGACAGCCAATAGGATGTGTGTGTGTGCATGTGTGTGACAGAAAGAGGGAGTGTGTGTGTGTGTGTGTGTGCACGTGTGTGTGTGCATAGAGAGAGAGGAACTGGCTTCCACAATATGGATCTGGCAAGTCAAGTTTATAGAGCAGGCCAGCAGGCTGGAAATTCACCAAGAGTTGATGTTGCAGTCTTGAGTCTAAATTCTGCAGAGCAACAGGCTGGAAACTCAGGCAAGATTTTTATGTTGTAGTCTGGAGACAACATTCCTCTTCCTGGGGTACCACAGCCTTTTCTCTTACGGCCTTCGACTGATTGGATGAGGTCCACCACATTATGGAAGGTCATCAGCTTTACTCAAAGTCTACTGATTAAAATCTTAATCTCCTCTAAAAAATACCTTCACAGCAACATCTAGACAGGTGTTAAAACAACTGGAGATCATAGCCTAGACAAGGTGGCACATAAAACCAACCATCACAGAGGACAGATGGAGTTGGAAATCCTGATGATGGTAAATTTTATTGTTCTTTCTGAGCTTGGGAACACTAATGGGGAGTGGAAGAGCAATGGCACAAGTTGAGTTTGTAATCGACTATAACACAATGTGGTGCCTTAATTAGCCTTTAATCATGAATAAGGAATGACTTCAGGATAAGAGAAAGGTTGGATGAAATGCTCCATCCCATGTTGTCCACCTTGAGGGAGAAGAGAGAAGCAGCTTCATGTCAGCCACTGGCTGCATGTGGGACCACCCACATGGTCCTCAGGAGAAGATGGTAGCATGATCAGATAACTGTGAGGCTTCCAGCCTCTCCAACACTCCAGGCATGCATGAGGCATGTTCTAAATGATTTGGTTGGATTTTTATGTCTACCATGCAAAATAGGTGGCATTATCTTCACATTACAATTAAGGAAACTAGAGTGAAGAGAGTTTAAGATCACAGGGCTAGTAAATGACTGAGTAAGGCTATTAATAAGTCCCAGGTAAGGCTAAAATCCATGTAGAATGCAGCAGCCCTCCCTGGCTCCCCTGCAAGAGCTTTTCCATGGCTCCAGGTAGGATGTACTCTTAAGAGTAAAGCTGCCGACTGCAGGGCGATAGCTGCTCCCGGCTGGCAAACCTCCCATCTCATTATATGAGGAAGTGATCTGAGAGGGAGAATCAGTCTCCTTACTGATGTTAGCATTAGACTGATGTCTAACCACATTCTGGAAGGCTGGAGGAAAGGAAAAGGCCCTTCTTCTCTCTCAACTATTCCCACCCAGTGCATGCAGAGACAGATCACCCAGATGGGGAGCCTCTTGTTGGAAAGGAAGAACAGTCATTGCCCCTGCTCAGTGCCGTACAGTCAGCCTGGAGGACAGAGCCAGAGGAGAGAGCTCTGACTTCTTAACTCAATACATTGTTCCAGGAACAAGCCGGCAGTCCAGAATTTCAGTGGCACTAAGAGGAATACTTAATTTGTCATCCCAGTTGCTGACATCATGGGTTAGGGGCCTGTCACTCTGAGAGGTCTCCACCTGCTCTGACCCAGCAGGGTTCCTTCACCCTCAGCATTTGAGGTCCCTTCTTCATACCTCTGGACTAGGTTCACACCAGACAGGCTCTCACTAGCTGGAAAGAAACCTGAACTAGGACTTCTCAGGGCTGAAAAATCAGTAAGCCCTATTTAATATCATGGTCAAATATGTTAATCATAACAACCATTTAATAAATGTATGTGCCAGGTACCAGACTGGCACACTTAACCTTTGCAATAATACACTGAGGTTGCTATTATTTTCCTTATTTTGTGGATTAACATACTGAAATTCATAGGAACTAACTTGCTCACGGTTGTTCAACTAAACCTTGTAATTAACTCAGCCTTAACTCCCAGATCTGACTTGCAATCTTTG